>NC_000009.12:31525151-31676666 GCF_000001405.40 Homo sapiens
ATATTCCATATCTTGATGTGAATATTTGTGCTGTCCACCTAAGATTTGTGCATTTGACTGCATAAAAATTGTGCCTCAAACCACATAGTCATTTTAACTGACACACAAAAAAGTATTTGACAAAATTCAGCAATCTTTCTTAATAAAAACTCTTAACAGCTAAGAATAGAAGGAAAGTTCTTCAACATAATAAAGCCCATTTATGAAAAACCCACATCACAATCCATGGGGAACAACTGAAAGCGTTTCCACTAAGATCTGGTATAAGGCAGATACGTCTGCTCCCACCACTTGTATTCAACATAGCACTGGCAAGAGCAAATCATTCCAGAAAAAAAAATAAAAGCATCCAAATAAGAAAGAAATAATTGAAATTATCTTTATTTGCAGATGACATGATCCCATATGCAGAAAACCCCAAATATTTCACATACCAGAAAATCTGTAAGAAATAATAAATGAATTCAGTAAAGTTGCAGGATACAAAATCAACATACAAAAATCAGTTGCATTTTCACATATTTACACACAAATACTGACCTAGTTGAAAAAGAAATCAAGAAATCAATTTCATTTATAACAGTATCAAAAAATAAATACCTACAGATAAATTTAACCAACAAAGAGAAAGATTCGTACACTGAAATCTATAAAACATTAATAATAAAAGGAATTAAAGAAGACACAAATAAATGAAAAGATATCCCAAGTACATGGATAGGAAGAATACTGTTAAAATATTCATAATGCTCAAAGCAATATACAGATTTAGTGCAATTCCTATCAAAATTCCAATAGCATTCTTCATCAAAATATAAAAAGAATCCTAAAATTTGTATGAAAACACACACACACACAGACACACACACACATACATATAGCCAAAGCAGTACAGAGAAAGAAAAACCAAGCTGGAGTCATTATATTTCTTGATTTAAAATTATATTAGAAAGCTACAGTAATCAAAACAGTATGGTACTGGCATAAAAACAGAAACATAGACAATAGAACAGAATAGAGAGCCCAGAATAAATTCAAACATATATGGTCAATCAATTTTCACCCATGACACCACCAGATATGTAATTTGCAAATATTTCTTTTCCAACCTGTACACTGCCTTTTCATTTTGTTGATTGTTTCCATTAGTCCATTCTCACATTGCTATAAAGAACTACCTGCAACTCGGTAATTTATAAAGAAAAGAGGTTGAATTGACTCACAGTTCCACAGCCTGCACAGGAAGCACGGCTGAGGGGACCACGGGAAACTTACAATCATGGCAGAAGGTGACGGGGAAACAGGCACATCTTACATGGCCAAAAAAGGAGGAAAAGAGAAAAGGAGGAAAAGAGAAAATCTGCAAGTGCTACACACCTTTAAACAAGCAAATCCTGTGAGAACTCACTCACTATCACAAGAACAGCAAAGGAGAAGTCCACCCCCATGATCCTATCACCTTCCACCAGATCCCTCCTCCAACACTGGGCATTACAATTCAACATGAGATTTGGGCAGGACACAAATCCAAACCATATTACTATCCATAAACTTTTTGGTTTGGTGTAGTCCCATTTACTTATTTTTGCTTTTGTAATCTGAGCTTTTAGTGTGATATTCAAGGAATCATTGCAAGGCCAATGTCAAGTTTTTCCTCTATGTGGTTTTCTAGAAATTTCATGATCTTTCATTTAGGTCTTACATTTCATGGTCTTATGTTTGGGTCTTTTATACATTTAGCATTGACTTTTCTGCATCATGTGTAAGATAAGGGTCCAGGGTCCTTCTTTTGCATGTAGAAATCTAGTTTTTTCGGTTTCCCCACTTAATATAACAATCATTTCTTTACCTTCTTTTAAATGGGTTCATTCAATTTAAATGAATATTTTCATGTCTACAGTGAAGAACCTTTGTAGTCATTGCTGCAGATTTACCTGGACAAAATGCACCCTACCTATTAATTCTATCTAGATGTACTAAAGAGTACCTTCTAAATCACTTCTCACTGAAAGTCACTGGCCTGAGAACTGGAGTAAAACTGAAGGCAGGAAGGTATATATTAATGAGCTGGGACAGTGAAGTTTGTGGGACTGATTGGTAATTCAAGAAAGCCTTAGTAGCCTCTGTACCTAATTTGATAAGACATTAATAACAAAATTAGATCTAGATTTGAATGTGCTGTCTTAGCATATTACAAGTGAAATAAAAGGCGACAGAGAAAAAGAAGCACATTACTATAGTTTCCATTGCTTTAAAATAGGAAGCCATTTGAAACAGAAATGCATACATGTGATCATTTTATAATGAATACATTTAATGTGTACATGTTGCTTAACATTTTCATTCTGATTTTTATTCTTTTCTTAGGTAATGTAAAATGAAAACTGATTATTTTCCTTGGTAACAAACAGGCTTTCCCAAATTTGATCTAGTGAGCAAAGCTGATATTTTCATGAAAAGAAACTCCACCTGTCAAGGCTTTGGGAAACCTATATGTACACCAGGACGTGTGTGTGTGTGTGTGTGTGTGTGTGCTGTGTGTGGTATTTGTTTAATAACAACCAGTTTTAAAGCCTTCCTAATGGATTGCTCAATATTTAGCTGGCCAAATTTGTGTGAAAATATAATATAGTGGGAAATAAAAGAATACACAGATACAAGAGATTTTTGTTGAATATTTTCTCGTAGCAAGTAATGATGAAAGCTTTATTATGTAAGGAAATGGTTCTCTGTTCTTTCCATTACTACTTAGGAACCTTGACAGTAAATCCCTTAAAGATGGGGCCATCAGTGTTCCAGGTAGTGTTTAAAGTAATGGTATATTAGTGAGCAAAATATGAGTAGTTAAACGCACCATGAGCTTTGGGACCAGATAGATAAGCTTTTGTATCTTGACCCTGCTGCTCTCCAGTTGTGGGAACTTAGGCAAGTTATATCAGCCTCATTTTCCTCTTCTATAAAATTAAGACAAGAAATAATCTTCCTCATCGTACAAGTAATCCTAAAGGATAAATACAACATAACAAAAACACCTACCACATATTTATACCTAGAACACAGCCATTTTCTACCTTAGATGCTTGAGGCTGCCTTAAAATATTACCACAAACGTGATGGCTTAAAACAATGGAAATATTTTCTCACAATTCTGGAGGCCAAAAGTTCACCATGAATTTCACTGGCCTGGAATCAAGGTGTTGGCAGGGCCATGTTACCTTCAGAAACTCTAAGGAAGAATCAGTTTCTTGCCTCTTCTAGCTCCTGATGGCTGCCGGCATTCTTTGGCTTGAGTCCACATCACTCCAATCTCTCCACGTTTACAAAGCTTTACTCTCTTCTGTGTATGTCTCCTCCTTTCTGTTTCTCTCCTGTACAGTCATTTGTGATGGTATTTAGTGTCCACTCAGATAATGCAGGACAATCTTCTTCTCATCTCAAGATTCTTAGCTTGATTACATCTGAAAAGACCCTTTTTTCTAAATAAGGTAACATTTACAGGCTCCAGGGATTACACTACAGGCACATTTTTGGTAGGGTGGGAGCATTTTATAGCCTACCACAGTGTTCAATGAATGTTAGCAGACTTTCTCTGTCATATACATCAGTGGTCCCCAACCTTTTTGGTACCATGGACTGGTTCTGTGGAAGACAATTTTTCCATAGACCAGGGATTTGGGGGCTGGTTTCAGAATAATTCAATTTTATTACATTTATTGTGCACTTTATTTCTATTATTACTACATTATAATATATAATAAAATAATTATACAACTCACCATAATGTAGAATCAGTAGGAGCCCTGAGCTTGTTTTCCTGCAATGAGACAGTCCCATCTGGGGGTGATGGGAGACAGTGACAGATCATCAGGCATTAAATTCTCATAAGGAGCAACCTAGATCCCTTTCATGTGCGCTTCACAATAGGGTTCGTGCTCCTGTGAGAATCTAATGCCGTCACTGATCTGGCAGGAGGCGGAGCTCAGGCAATAATGTGAAAAAATGATGGGCAGCAGCTGTAAATACAGATGAAGTTTCCCTCCCCCGCCACTCACCTCCTGCTGTGTGGCCTGGTTCCTAACAAGCCACGGACCACTACTAGTCCATGGCCTGGGTGTTGGAGACCTCTGTTATATATCATCTCTTAGAATATTGATTATGCCACTCATGTTTACCATGTAGACATGAGGAACAATAATTTTATCCTGTTCACTTCCTGAATCCATATTTGTAGGAATGGCCTACCAGCAGTGGGTGCAGAAAACATACTGTTTGTCACCATAGCTAGAGATAATCAAAAGTCAAGGAAAATCTTAGAATTTTTTTCCAGGTATAAAAAGCATTCCACTAAGAAATATTAATATTACTTTATCAAGAAGTAAGCACTCAACTAAATGAAGCTTAAAGACCAGTATTTCTCACGTAATATATGTATATTTTCCATGATACTTATATTTGTACAAAAATATGGAACATTCACACATTCAGTTATTTGAATTTTGTGTCAGTAGAAAACAAAGCCAAAAAAACGTTGAGAGTTTCAAAGTAGGACACATATATAAAACAATACGTGGTGAAAGTACCTAACTTGGCAGATGGCTGAGAGTGAAATTACAAAGTGGTGCAGTGAGACATTTGATTAAAAAAAGCAATGATAAGCTGTCATCTAATGCATTATTAATTGCTCTAAAAACTCCTTCTTACCAAAATATCATAAAAGACAAAATATTTTGCACATAAATATATGTTAAAGCTGTTTCATAATCACTCGCGAAGAGGATGGTTTTTTTCCAATGCAGTAGGTTAGAAATCTTAAATATTAGACTTTCATAATCTTTCTACATAATTATTTGTAAACTATTACACAAAAGCAATTCTTCCGAAGGTGTTTGAATAATGCTTACATAATGAAAATAAAAAATAAAGCAACAAGGATTCTAAACCTAACTTCTCCATCACCCAAATGGAAAACATTTGTAATGGAAAGTAGAACGGGGATTACCTTCCATCTTTTCATAATGCAGCATTTTTTCAATCAACAAATTAGCACTCGAATAATACGCTATCAGTTCTTCTCGCAGGTAATTCCGAAGCTGAAGAGTTCTTTTACTGTTCAAACCTTTAACTACATAAAAACTACTTTAACTTCAGTATATGAGCCACGAACATTTCAAAAACATATTATATGGCACCATGAAAGTCACACGTAGATATCTCTTACTGGCAGCATTTAGTGCTCTTGGTCTCAAATGTGCTTCAGATTCACATACCACATTTGAGATTCCAAATGTTCACAGCCCACAGACCCTTTTGCACTGTGCTTTCCACCCTGATTCCTAGTATCAGCACTGTTACCTAGGTTTGTGCATTTGATGAATTATTTCTTTCATACCTTGACCTCTTTAGAGGAAATGCATGTATGCTTGCCTTGTAAAGTTTATTTGAAAGGCTGTTCCAAGGGATTACTAGCCTTGCTTATGTTAAATTTAAATAACCTCCTGGTCCCGTCGCTTCCTCAGTATTTCAAGGTGCTGCAACAGACACGGAACCTTTATGTCAGACTGTCATCCTCTTCAACCTCTGCTTAATATTTTGGTTTTGTTTTACTTTTTTTTATAACCTGGTTATTCCTTGAGTAAGGAGAAGAATCTTGATGGCCTTGGTGGCCCATTCTGTTCTCTCTTTGGGAAGCCTAGGCAGACCTTAGCTCAGCAGGTCTGAGAGAGTAGCATTGCCACTGGAAAGATAATGGGTGTAAGCTTTTGCAAAGTGTAAGCTTTTGAATAGGATTACCAGATAAAATACAGAATGCCAATTTAAATTTTTATTTAGGATAAACAATAAGTACTATTTTGGGGTATGTCTCAATATTGTATGGGGGCATATCTCATATATTTCATAATGCAGCATTTTTTCAATCAACAAATTAGCATTTGTTGATTAAAAAAACATGAAAACATACTAACAAATAAATTTACTAGTGATCTGAAATTCAAATTTACCTTTGTGCTCTGTTCTTCTACCCCTCTCCCCCGCTCAAAAAAAAAACTGGCATCCTTAACCTAGACACTCACTCTTTCCTCTCTTTTGCTGATTTAGATAAAAACTCAGCAGTGCCCACTTGAAAAAAAGATAAACTTAAGAAAGAACTTTGTGCTTCATCTGACAGGCATGGCCTTGAGACGGTTCCATTGCTTTCGATTCTGTTTCCTTACATGCACACAATCACAGTTTGTATATCACTGAAATGCTTTAAAAATTAAGTTTATATTTTTCTGTTATAAAGATAATTTATGCTCATTCTAGAGAAACGGAAAATTGAGAAATGTATAAAGTCAATCACCTTTAGTGCTTCTGCTCAATATGGTAATACTATTAATAGTTTACAGTTATTTATTTCATGATCTCATTCAATTCTCACAGCGAAAGCATATGATAGGTTTTATTACATAATCTACTTTTACTGATGAAGCTGGATCTCAGGAAGAATTTGTTAAAGAGCATGAGGCTGGTAAAGACCAGAGCAAAGGTCTAAGCCATGGTCTCTCTAACTCTAGAGTCCTCTTCTCTGTGCTCCCTCTATCCTGTTAACATGTTGCTACATTTCATGTCAGGCTTATTTTTAAGGGCTATTTTGCATAGTATCAATTATAATGAATATGAATGCTCCAAAACAGGATATTTTTTAAAACATTTGTTTAAAAGGAGGTATAGTTTTGCACAGAATAAAATGCCTCAGATTCTGTCATGACACTTTACTTAATTCCCTAGGCAACCCTGACTTCTCCCCCTCAATATGGCTAACGTGAAAATTTTGCTTTCAACACATAATTCATAATCTGCTAGAAGACAATATTGTGATATAATCCCCCACGTGTCCACACACAGGGATGAGCACAAAGCAAGATTCCTATTAGTCTAACAGCCTCTAATTAGGTGTCTATATTATTGGAGGCTTTTCACACACATTATCTGTACTCTTCACAACAACCTTACAAGGTAAATATTATGATGAGGAAATTGAGACTCAGAGAGGTTAACTAGCACCCTCAGGATGCATAGTACTTTTGTGGGAATGAGAAAAAGGCTTCTCTGCTTCTAGGCAGAAGCAGCCCTGAGCATCCCTCGGCAAGATCACTGCTGAATCCTTACTGGCTGAGAGAATTTGGACAGCGCACAACCTGCACAACCATAGATGGCAGCTCTGTTCTATATGACACAGCCAGTAAATAGTAAATGAGGTTTAAAGTCAAATTGTCTGACACCCAAACACATATGTATCTACTCTATTCTGTGCAATCTCTGAATCTCTGGTTCCTCACATTTCAGTATGAAACCTGATATGTTAGTTTGGAAACATCATTGGAGCTACTATATCACCTTTCTTCCTACAAATCCTCACAAGTCCCCAACTCTTACTCCAGATTCAATGCCAACACCCATGGCTGCTACATCTCCTCTCATCTGCCCCTGAGTAACATCATGCTTCATGCTTCAGGGGGAATAACATCTTGGCATCAGATATACTTATATTAAATAGTAATTAAACCCATTAGTCTTTGATTGAAAGTGTAGAGTTAACTTGTCTTATTGGTGAGGAAGGCATATAAAGCTGGGCAATTTTAATTCTCGACATATACCTTCATATTTTAATTGTTCGTAGGGTTCTTTCAATTTAAGAGACTCCCATTGGACCCATATTAAAATGAAAGGGACTTGTGCAAATGAAAACGTCACTATCTATAGAGTAGGCCATGGGTAGGCCCACTTAAGGAACTCTTGAGAGTGTTAAATTGTGCAGCAAGAAACCAATTGGCTAACTGTATGGCTGTGGTTATGGCAGTGACGAAGGCCCTTTTCAGACTCTCAGGTAAAGTAGTATAATAAGTAGCTCTCCCAGAATCTAACATGGAAGATTCTGTACTTCAGGTGAATATCTAAACTTTAGCCATGTCTTTATGGAGAACTAAAAATGTTGAAGCCACATCCACCTCTGCCATTACTTATTTTTGCATTTGTATAAGAATCCTTTGCATAGCTTGTTTGCCAGTGAAGTAGTAAAGTTAATAGACTAGGCCAGATCCAATTATTATTTTCACCAGTATTCAAACCTAATCCAACTTTTTTGTCTTGCCTGTCACACAATATTTCACCTTATTTGTGCATCAAGCTTACCCTATTTAAGTTTGCTTATTCTTATTAAGTTTACTGAAAACGATTCCAAACATATGTATGAAATATATAATAAAATGCATATTTAAAAGCTAGCCTTTTAGAGTAAAGGGACTTTTTACAGAATCAAGGCCAATTTTTGAAATAAATGATCTGTGCCATTGCTAGGATATGTGGTACCCTGAGAAAATAATTTCTGTGAGGCTCTCATTTCTACAAACAACTCGATTAAAAAATGTAGTAGGAAACTCCTGGATGCCTATTAAACGTAGTAATTTACTGATGACGACGTAGAATAATGCTTAAAGAGGAGGTACTTATATGTTTATTCATTGTTCATTCAGTAGCCATGAAGATTCTTCATAGTGCCCAAGTACCATCTCTTCCTCTTCCAGTTTATAAATTCTCTCTTACGTTCTGTATTGTGAAATATGCTATCACTGACTAATTTCACATCCCCCTTCTTGAGAAAAACACAACACTGTTATTATCCATAATATCATGGCTTTATAGAACATGCTTGTATTAAAAAATATAAAACTTGTTGTCCTTACAGTTCTCGATACCATTTATTTAATGCTAATTACATAATTTCTTTTTAAATTTTATTTATTTATTTTTAAAGTTTTATTTTAGGTTTGGGGGCATATGTGAAGGTTTGCTACCTAGGTAAACTTGTATCATGAAGGTTTGTTGTACAGATTATTTCATCACCCAAGTATTAAGCCCAGTACCCAATAGTTGTCTTTTCTGCTGCTCTCCCTCCTCCCGCCCTCCACCCTCCACCCTCAAGTAGACCCCTGTGTCTGTTGTTTCCTTCTTTGTGTTCATAAATTCTTATCATTTAGCTCCCACTTATAAATGGGACCCTACAGTACCTGGTTTCTTGTTCTTGCATTCACTTGCTAAGTATAATGGCTTCCAGCTTCATCCATGTTCCTACAAAAGACACAATCTTGTTCTTTTTTATGACCGGATAGTATTCCATGGTGTATACATATCACATTTTCTTTATCCAGTCTGTCACTGGTGGGAATTTAAGTTGATTCCATGTTTTATAATGCTGCAGTATCTAGTGTGTTACCCATAAATACTGACTTCTATTGACTCTCTCAGAAGTTATTATTGAGCATTGTTGACAATGACTACAAATTCAAGTTTTATCCAGATAAAATAGTAAAATGTACGTGATAATTCATTTTCTGATAATGTTAAATCTACCATTTATAATTTTACGTAACATAAAAGAAAACGTTTTCAAATAATATATTCTCTTGAACTCTAGGTCTTGACCACTGCTTTCTTAGAAGATAACGTATTTCAATGTTAACCATACCTCTGCTTCCCACACACAATCAACAATGGAAAGAACAGGCAAGAGATCCATGATCAGAGAAATAAGCAGTTTCATTCATACCAGGAAAGTCTGTTCTTTATCCAGCATGATTTAAGACTAACCTGGGAAAGGACAATGTCACTGCATGTATTGGATGAAAGAAAGAATGTCAACTGGACAGTCCTACTGCATTTGAGGAGAAAATCTTTAAAGTCCTTGGAAGACATAGGCTCTACCACTACACGGAGAATGTGGCACAGAGACTGCGTACATGGTGAGGTGGCCAGCTTGAGTGCCAGTAACAGAAGGTGCACAGGGTAAAGGATGCCTGTTGCCGGCACTGTTGCTCTTGGTCGCTGCATCCTGGAGGCTAAACCGAGGTTGAAATATGGATGAGTGGGAACTTACACATGAAGCCACACACATGGCTTTAGCCCAAGGTTTCACAGTGGATCACTAGCAATCCAGAGCCTAAACTCATCCTGCGTCTAGCATGAGTGAGAACCAGGATGGCAGTAAAATTCAGAAAGCCAAATCTCATTCAATTTGTCCAAAGAAATACCAAGCTGTCCACTGTGGGCAATCAACTTCCCAGGCCTGAGCTCAAACACAGGACCCTTAGAAAACTACATATGTGTTGGTTCTGGAGCTCATTGGAGCATCTGTTCCACCTTGTCCATGTAGGTAGAGTTCAGAGAGAATTCAGAAGTAAATTAAAGAGTGGGGCCCACACGGCCCCTCACATTGGTTTGGGGAATCCTACTGGGCACAGCTTGTTCTGAGTAGTCCCAGGCAACTAAGGGCAACCAGAAACTTATCAAGAGAAGTGCTCATAAGTGCAGTTGCCCCTGAGCACTTGACTGGCTCTAAAGTTGATACTGCAGATAATAAAACAGTGCTAAATGATGTGACCAAAGTCCCGCAAAGGTCTCCAAAAGAATTAATTCTATATCTCAGGTCTTTTTCCATACAGTGCTCTGACCCTGCTAATGCATATTCCACTGAATTCCAGAATGTGAAAGTAACCTAAAGTTTATTTGTCAATCCCCACAAAAATGCATTTGTATCTGTACCATCTCCACTAAGCAGTCTTGTATCTCTATATATCTCTTCTCTCTGCATTTCTAGTAACGGGAATCTTACCATCTCCCAACACAGCACACTTGCTCTCCAAAGAGTGAGTCAGAAACGGGGCTGAAAGAAATCTGTGTTCCCATGACTCCCACTTTGCAACTGTATAGCATGAAGTTGAAATACTCTGCAATATGATGTTTTCTCAAATACTGAGAAAAGGAGGAAGTCTTCTTGTAGTCTCCTTTTTCCTAGGTTAAAGACACTGTTTTGTTAGTGAGATATGATATGCTTTTCAGCTCTCTCAACATTCTGATTGTTCCACTTTGTAAGTACTCTGCTCTTCTAAAATATGAGCAGGCCTACTGCGTTAGATCTGAAGCTTTCATTTTCAGATGTATTTACCAATATTTTATTATTATGAAGTTCTTATCATTTCATTAAATACCATATTTGACCAAAAATAAATCTTTAGAATTACCTAAGGTTTAATTTCGCCAATAGATGGTCATTATTTTCTAGATGGCATATTAGTAATACAGAGCTGTTTGTTCCTGCCGAACTTTACAAAGCAACTAATAAAGAAACAAACAGATAACTTTGCTCCAGGTCCAGAAGTAATATATACTAAACATTATATAGAAATTACATAAGACAGCCAATGAACATAAAATTACATTGACAAAGGTAAAGAAAAAAATCAGGACACTTTATGTTCTGATTATATCATAAAAAGACTCTAAGAACCGGTACTCATATAAGCTAGTTATATAAACAGTATTTCAGGTTAAAAAAACCCTGAATTTTGTCAAACAGTGTCTGCAACAATTATAAAACAAGTACATATGGCTTCTCTTAAGTCATTTTCTTTCTAGCAGCTGCGAATGAAATCCTAAGAGAGTTCACTCCAGGCAAATATGCCTTAATACGGAAATCAGCCTCAATATAGCCCCATTTCTCTCTGAAGGTCATGGAAAAGTTTTTTTGCCAAGTTATAGGCTTCGTGTAGTTTAGTTCCTTTGTACTTTTTTTCAACCAATGAGTCCTTTGCATGGAAAGGGAAAAAGTGAAGAATAATCTCTGTTATGATCCTAAGACACTTTTGTTTATCAAAGAAAGCATAGATAACATGAAAAAAATAAATATTCTGTACCAAGTTCTTAAAACAAGTTGCAAAAATTCCCAGGTCATGTTGAGCTCTATCTACTGGAAGTATTGATAGGCCAAAATATTTTTGACCCACCCATTCGAGCCAATAAAAGAAAGAATGATTTTATTTGAAGAGGGTGGACTCATTAACTTGTCTAGTTTCTGTAACAGCACATGAATTGCAGAAAAAGAACTATGGCTATAGGCCCTTAAGTCAGACTGCCTGGGTTCTAATTCTCCTACACAATAGGTGTATAACTCTGAGCAAGTAACATGAAAATGTTAAGATCCATCTAATAATAGTAACTTATAATGTATTTTACAGTTCAGAAGATGCTTTCATATCTGTTATTTTATTTGTTCTCATGCTAATTGTCTTAGAATGACAGGGTAATTATTCTTTCTTCAACAAGTATTCATTGAGAATCTACTTTGTGTCTGGGTATAACGTACTAAATAAGATAGACAAGGTCTGTGCTTTCATAGAGATGTCATTCTATAAAAAAATAACAGACAACATCCAGTAAACAGAGTGATATCTAAGACAATTTCAGATAATAATTGTAAAGAAGCAAATAAAGTTGGGGATAATTCAGGTTTATTGAGGGTGACCAGTGAAGACCCCTTTGAAAAGGTCTTATTTAAGATGAGAATTTGAATGGAGAGAGGAAGTCAGTCAGAAGATCACAATGAGTAGGAGGAAAGGAGGTTTTCCCAATAAAATGCTTTAAGGAATAAAGCATTAGGTAGGGTTCCCTAACAAATGAAAAAGTCAGCAGAAGGGGAATAAGGTCAAGGACGATGGAAAGATAAGGGTCAGTATCCCTCTGCAGCTGCAGAAAGCAGGATCATAATCAGTAAAAGACCTTTCCAAGGTCACACAAGAGCCAGGACTAATGTCTGGATATTCTCACTCCATATATATTGCTCTTTTCCTTTGCAAGATTTCTTGCTTGATAAACCAGACTGCTAGACAGAACCCAACAAAGAACACTTGTTCACTTTGAACATCTTTGTAAAAAAAAATTCATATCTTCCTATAAATTAATAACCTTACTATCACCATCAACTATTACTGAGCTTCTTAAATGTAGCAGGCACTCAGCTGGCTTTTAAAATCACTTTTTATCCAATAACACTGAGATGATAATTTAGTTCATTTTTTAACTGATGAAACTTCAAGTTAGAGCTATTTAGAAACTTACCTAAATAAAACATCTAATAACTGGTGAGCTTAATATAGGTATAAATTTTCTTATACCTATGTGATTCTTTTGGGCATTTTGATGTAAGTCACCATAAACATCTGTGAGGAGAGTATAAATTTATAGTCAGTCCATAAGACATCACCCAGACACCTTAAAAAACATCCTTCTTCAGTGTTGGGAGCTTGTAGTGGTAGATTTCTTAAGACTGTATTAAAGTTTATCTTAGAAATCTCAAAATATACACAGTATATATCAAAGCTATGATTAGCACAAAGGTTGCTAGGCAGTGATCTTACTACTAATAGGTCTATATTTATCTTATTTGACATTAAAAAATGGATAGGCAGTGACTTTATTCTTTAAACTTGAACAAATATGTTAACAATGGTTCAGATTGCTAAGGCTGCCTGGATATGATTGTTGGAAGTGTGTGTATGTTGGATAGTGTTACAAGTAGTTAGGCATGAGCCAGGCAGAAGAGGGCTCTTCCCCCACCCAGTAGGAATGTCAGGTGATGGTTCAACAATTATTATACTGCCTCTCTAAAAATGAAAAATGATAATTCCGCAGCAGTAGCCAGGGCACCAGGGAGAGACAATCTCCTGATGATCCACAGCTATAACATTAAAGTGTTAATTGAATGCAGATGCCAGGGAGAAGAAACTACCTGGGCATATGAATTGAGAGACAAAATGGTGAAGTATGACCTCCTGGGGACACTCCACCAGAAAAGGGAAGAAAGCCTCAGATGGGCATGCGGGCAACTTTCTCAACACACTGTGTGCTCAATTCCCAGGGGTAAGGAAGGCCCTGTGCATGCAGAAAGCCCACCCTAAGGGAAGAATCATGGGAAAGAGGTGAGCCCATAAAGTCCTCAGATCAATGTTAAACGATCTCTTTGATCTTCAGGTGCCCATTTGGGTCTATTCCAAGTGAATTTTCCTTTCTTTCCTGTTCTAAATTCTTTTTAAAAATAAACTTCCACCTCACCTCAGTCTCTTCTTCTGCTTTATGTCCCTCCATCAAATTCTTTCTTCTGAGGAGACAAGAACTGAATTTGCTGCAGACCTATACGAATACGCCACTGGGAACTCGGGATAACTCAGATGCCTGGCACTGGTAACAATAGGATGAGGTGGGGGGACACAGTAGTGATGAGGCTTTTTTGTGTTGCATAACTGAAATTAATTTGGAGCAAGCACTAACAAGGATTTTTTTTTACTGTCTTTGAAAATTAGATGTGAATGTATGAAGCAAACACAAGGACATTCAACTGCTTTCATATTTTGTAGCATAACCATTACAGTTATAGACCCTAGAGTCAGCCTGAGTTCTAATTCAAGTTATTCTATTTAATAGTTGTGTAACTTTAGGCAAATTGCCAAAGTACCATGTGCCTTGATTCCCTCATCTTCAATTGAAAATAATAGTACCTAGTTTATTACGGAACTTATAAAGATAAATAATACTATACACATAAAACATACCTAATGATGTCTGACACATAGCCACAGATTGACTGTAAAATACTTGTAGCTGTTGTTATCATGATCATCATTGTTGCAGTACTTTATGACTTTTATACAAGCAAAACTTTGTATTTTCCAGTAACCTTGAAGCTAGCTTAACAATTGCCTATCACTATAGTAAATGTTATGGGAAATGTGTCAACATGCAGATGAATTCAGTGCCATTTTGTTTCTTCCACCTAAACAGTATTTCTCTAGATCCCGTTTTTAATTTTCCTATGCAGCAGAGCAAATAGTAAGTAGTTCTGAAATTTAATTATCATCTATAATTTCTGAAGTTTTCCCATTTTTCCAAAGTGAAAAAAAGGAAGTCTATTTTTCTGGCCTCTGTAGAGATTAAAGCAGAGAGACATCAGGCATTTTTGTCTGTTTTCAGTTTAACAAAATTTTATTGTAAACTGTATGTGCGAGGCACTGTTTGGCTTTGCATCACAGAAATAAATGCTAGAGAGTCCCTAAGCTTTCAAAGCTTCACATTTTTCTTGTTGGTCTTATTTTTCTCTTCTCTTTTTGCCTATCTGCATTTTAACAAAAATGTAAAGCAACTCATAAGTCAGTCCTGTCATGAGGCAGTTCAACGGTCACCAGAATAGGAAAATAAAAAGGGCAAAATTGCTTAAAACTTGCCTTGACTAAGAGGCACAGTCTTGGTATAGTATAAGTTTCTCTTTGGAAATGTGTGGCAGCAATGGTATCCAAATATAATTTCTGGCCAATTTTATTAAAGACAAAGTATATGCCAAATGCTATTTTGACCCTCTCCATAACTTTCATTTCTCCCTGTAATTTAATAAGCTCTTCCCATTGTTCAAATGAGGACCTTGTAATCCAGAGATTACAGTGATTCACCTAAAGTCATTTGCGGCAGGGGCAGAGCCGGAGGCAGAGACCCTATCCTCTGATTCTAACATCCTTACATTTCCCGCAGTACTGTGCCTCCATTGTTAGGGGCTTACTCATGTCTTTCCTAGTGTTTTCTCTCTTAACGCAGCAGTTAATTCAGGGAGTTTCTGAAGATTGAGATTGCATTCATGAGATTTTAGATTATATAACACAACAAACTCCTCCAGGATAGTGAACATGTATTATTCTTGTTTATATTGCCACATCTGAGTTACTATTTAGAGAAATTAACACAACACACCTCCTGAATGATTCAACTAGTGAACCAATACATACAAAAGGGAAGCTGAGATAAAGAACTTACTCCTGGATAGAAAAGAACCTACCTACCGTTTTAAAAAAGGCATTTTAAAGTCGGTATTGGACATCTTTTAACACCTAAAAGCACGTGACCTCTTGTTCAATGTATTTGTGGAACTTTTACAGGAATTGTACCGAAAGCTGTAGTAATACAGAGAATAACAAAGTAGAATTCTATAAGGCCCTCAAACACTTGTGATAACTTGAATTTGCTGCAAAACTTTCCCATGGCTGGTAAGTAGAATATGTAGCAGGCAGTGAAGCAGGAGAAGTCAGCACAACTCACAAGCACAGATGGAATCTCAATAGTATGAAATATCTTTTCCTTAAACCAAAAAGTAACAGATACTGAATTTGCCCAAGACAAACAAATGTGTCTAGAGATTCCATGGGAAAATACAATAATTGTCTTCATATGAAAATTCACCTAATAATGAATGACAAGCCCATTTAAAAAATTTTTCTTTTTTTTTTTTTTTTTGAGACGGAGTCTCGTTCTGTCGCCCAGGCTGGAGTGCAGTGGCGTGATCTCGGCTCACTGCAACCTCTGCCTCCCAGGTTCAAGCAATTCTCCCTGTCTCAACCTCCCGTGTAGCTGGGATTACAGGCACCTGCCACCACGCCCGGCTAATTTTTGTATTTTTAGTAGAGACAGGGTTTTGCCATATTGGCCAGGCTGGTCTTGAACTCCTGACCTCAGGTGATCCGCCTGCCTCGGCCTCCCAAATTGCTGGGATTACAGCCGTGGGCCACTGCACCCAACTTAAAAAACAAACAAACAAAAAACTTCACCTGGTGTTTAGCTAGTCTTAAAACACAGCTTGAAGAAAAATCAACAAAACTGGACCCTTGCAAAAGAGACAAACTCCTCTTCAGTGCTTATAGGCTGAACCTAGACAAATTCTGAGCTGTTTGGACCTGACAGGCAAGAAGCACTGGGAACTGACTGTTCTCCATGCTTTCCCCAGGATGGCAGAAAGCTTATAATGTGTAAAAGCAAGCCCTGATAAATATAGCTCTCTGTGAGAACGCTGACAAATTCACTCCCTCATTTAATGAAAAGCTGCCAAGTGTGATGATATTTCTAGGAATGGTGCAAATGAGCCACTGTGAGAATGAAAAAAGAAAAGCCCAGGACAGACGCTTTTCTATTTAAAAACAGAAAGCAGCACATTTGTAAGAGCTATTGGACTGATGAGCTTCTTTCAGATATGTACCCTTGTTTTTAGCAAAGAACTGAAAGTATCATTTCAAGAACATCAATCAAATACAATGCTTAAAATTCAAGTGCTTAAGAAACATACAGATCTTCCTTTGCTAAAGTTGAAGAAGCACTATTCATCTTGAGCTATTATGCAGATCACATAGGTGTAACATGGCAACACTATTTTTCATTTAAACCTTGTAAACTTGGCCGAGGAAAAGGAAGCATGCTCATAATCACCGGGGGGAGACAAGCAAGGAATTTTAGAAGCACAATTTAATTCTTGTTACAAACAATCAACTGAAGTAGGAAAGTCTAGATTTAATAGCCCGTGTCATAAACAGACAGCATACCAGTGTTGTCTTTACTAAAATTCTGATTAAAATATCCAAAAAGATTTTTAGCACTCCAATCAACCATTTTGTGATATGGATCATTTAGCAGAGGTTATGTATCAGCTCAGTTCCCATTTAGGTCAATAGATTGCTTTTGTTCTGATAGATTCACGTGCAAGGCTCACCCTACAGGCTAGATGAGAAAGGGCAGCAGCTGTCTTCTGCTTGCTCAATCCTAGCTAAGGCAGATAACTACAGCCTGAAACTCTAGCTGTTTTGCAAGTAGATGTGGTTTGTAACAGGGTTAGTGGCCCAGAGAGGGCCCCACAAATTCTCCAGTGTTATTAGAAAACATTATTGTGAAATGATTCTGTATGACTAATAAGAGTATTTCTATTTACCGAATGTTGAACTCTTTGAAATGAAAGCCTCCACGGAGCTTATCTAAAACCATTATGAGTTTCATAGAGTGATGTAAGAACTTTTGTTTTCCAGAAAATAAACACCATATGAACAAATACAGCAACAAATATCACAACTCTATCCTATATCAAACAAACATATCACATCAGTTCTCTAACTTACTGAAAACAAGAGACCTCACAGGAGCCTACATTCAGAAAGATTTTCTGTGTAGTCTGACAAGAAGTGTTTCCCTAAACGTGATAATCACGTTTAGGGAAAAGTGCTGCTGGATAGCTGAGCTCAAGATTAAATGGATCAGGATCAGACAAAAATTTCAAAATGATTTTTTTCTGTTCTATTTGATATTCTCTCTTAAAATATCAGACTTAAGAACAAATATATTACAAATGTACTATTTTTAAGGGACAGATAGACAAGTGATAATCACGGGTTATCTGTTTGCTTCCAAACATACAGATACACAAAAACACACATAAAGTGAAATAAAGTTCTTACTCCATTTTTACTATTTTTTTCAACAAATATAAGATCAGAGTTACGACTTTTTTCTTCTTTATAAAATAAGACTCCTAGAAATGTTTTTTTATATTTGTACCTTGCTCAAACACAAAATAAATTAGCATTGTGCCTACCTTTTGAAAAAAAATAAGCAAGAGTATAGACATAGAGTATACTTTAAAATCTTAATTATGCTGTCATCATTAAATAAAAATTATTACATAACACCTGAAAAGGCAGTGATAGTAGTTGAGCTTATATTTGGAAAATGAATCAAAAAACAAAAAAAAATTTCTGTGAGAAGAAACATGAGAAACTCAAACATTTATAAATATGTGCAGTTGAATGAGCTGTATGAACTGCTTTAAAGAAAACACTCCTTAACATTGGACAGAATATATTTTAAAAGTAATTTATTTCATGCATTTATTATTTATTTGCTGCACTTTAAAACATACGTTTAAAATGAAAATTTGGCTATGAAGTTTTCTGTTTGTTTGGTTAACTTCTTTTTGGAAATGGGAATCCCCTGTAGAAGACAGAATTTATGTCACATAAGTATTAGCAACCCATTATGTGTTGTAGTATCATGTAGTGCCTATGGTATAATCTGTCCTGAGGAAATCTGTTGGTCAAGATAGCTATGCATAGTTAGAGATGAGGGATCAAATTAGAAAATCAGAGTAGTGCTTCCTTTCTCTTCTTCCTTTTAGGCTGCTATAGCAATAATCAGTCCAGGGTGAGCTCCCACTTATGGAGAAGGCCAAGTCAGCCTTGTGCTCTTATCTGTAAGTTCATCTTGTCAACCACTAAATAGCACAAGAGTGATATGGTGTAGTTTCGAAGGTGGAAGAGAAACTGTATATGTCTATATAGCCCAGTTCAGGAGAAACCTCTGCTTTGGAATTTTATTTCAGGAGAAAATTAAATATATATAAAATCTGTTACTTGGCTTTCTATGACATCATGACGCTATCTGTTGTGCCTGTTTCTTAACAGAGACATCACAGGGACATTTCATGGGCTCAAACAAGAACACATTAAAGTAAAATCAAATACAGTCATTTTTTGCTTAATATTAGTAAATATTATTAAACTAATAATTGTTAATATTAACAATTAATATTAATAATAAATAATTTAGTACACTGCTTATAGAAATTAAATATTCTGCCAGAAATCACTAACTTGGAGCTTATTATTATGCTAGGGAGGAACAACTTGATATTGCATTATACTACTACTACAAAACTCTAACCAACTTCCCCAAGCAGAACCAAAACAAAGTAAACTGCCTGTATAAAGGAACCACCTCACAACTAAACAGTAAACGATTAAAACATCACTTTCTGATTATCAAGCAATATGGTAAAAAACAGACTTTTACATCTTTTTTATGCAGTAATAAGCAATTTGTATGTCATATTTATAATTTAGCATGCTGAGAAAAAATAGCAAATAAATTTGATTTAAAAATGCAAATATTTTACAATAAAATACAGGCATTCTACTTGTCTAAGTTTCTTGCTTCATGAAAGAAAGTTAGAAATCTAATCAAGGAGACTGAAGTATATTTTTTTCTACTTTTTTTTTTTTTTTTGTAGAGAGGAGATCTCCCTACGTTGCCCGGTGATCCTCCTGAAGCACTGGGATTACAGGAGTAAACCACCACACCTGGCCTATTTTTTCTGTAATTTATCATGTTGTGGCATGTATCAGATCCTTTTGGTGTATTTGTTCCTTTTAATTATGGAATATAACTGCATTCTATGATTGTATTACAACTTGTTCATTCATTCTCTTGTTGATAAACATATGAAAGTTTCCAATGTTTGCTATAATAAATAGAGTGGAATATTCATTTTGTACAAGTTGTTTTGTGTTTTTATATCTTTTGTGTAAATACCAGGAGTATAACTGCTGAATCATAAGGTAAGTATAAATTTAATTTTATAAGAAACTGCAAAATGGTTTTCCACAGAAGTTGTACCTTTATATACTCTCACCAGCAACATATGAAGGTTGTTTATATAATCCCAACAGTTATTTCCCATTCCCTCTAATATTTGATTTATTAGTCTTTTTACTGTTAGCACTTGTAGTTAGTGAGTCGTGGTATCTCACTGTGGTTTAATGTGCATTTCACTGAGTGATAATTTTGAGAATATTTCGATGTGTTTATTGTATATTTGTTTAATCTTTTTTGTTTGTTTGTTTTTAGATGGAGTCTTGATCTGTCGCCAGGCTGGAGTGCAGTGACACGATCTCGGGTCACTGTAACCTCTGCCTCCCAGGTTCTAGCGATTCTCCTGCCTCAGCCTCCCAAGTAGCTGGGACTACAGGTGCGCACCACCATGCCTGGCTATTTTTTGTATTTTAGTAGAGATGGGGTTTCACCATGTTGACCAGGATGGTCTCAATCTCCTGAGCTTGTGATCCGCCCGCCTCGGCCTCCCAAAGTGCTGGGATTACAGGTGTGAACCACCATGCCCAGCCTTATTTCTTTAATCTTTTTAATGAAGTGCCCATATAAGCCTTTGGAATATATATGTGTGTGTGTGTATATATATATATGTGTGTGTATATATATGTATATATATGTGTGTGTGTATATATACGTATATATATGTGTGTGTGTATATATATACATATATATATATATATATATATATTTTTTTTTTTTTTTTTTTTTTTTTTTGAGAAGGAGTCTTGCTCCCTCACCCAGTCTGGAGGGCAGTGGCACGATTTTGGCTCACTGAAAGCTCTGCCTCCCAGGTTCAAGCAATTATCCTACCTCAGCCTCCCAAGTAGCTGGGATTACAGGTATGCACCACCACGCCCAGCTAATTTTTGTATTTTTAGTAGAGACTGGGTTTTGCCAGTTCTCAAACTCCTGACCTCAGGTGATCCGCCTGCCTCTGCCTCCCAAAGTGCCAGGATCACAGGCGTGAGCCACCGCACCTGGCAGCCTTGGTAATAATTTTATTGAGTTGTTGTCCTTTTAGTTATTGACTAATAAGTTCTTTGGATAATGTAAGTATTACTCCTTTGATAAATATATGTACTTAGAATCTGATTATGCAGTCTGTAGTTTGCTTTTTGTCTTCTGTGTCTTTTGATGAGTAAAATTTTTTAATTGTGATGAATTTCAGTTTACTGCTTTTTGCATTCTAAGAAACCTTAATCCTCATTCAAGTTACAATGATAATCTACTATGTTTTTTCTTTGAACTTTCTAAATTTAGCTTTTGTGATCTATCTTGAGTCAACGTTTTGAATTGTTATTTTGTGTATGGTGTGAGGTATGAATCAGGGTTTATTCTTCTTACAAAGTGTTTGAATACTAGAACTTGTTCTTTCTTTTTCACTGTATATTTGTGTGTACCTATTAATCCTCCCTTCATCCCCTGCCCATCCTTTCCAGCCTCTGATAACCCTCTCTACCTCCATGTTTGATATTTCACTAGGGTGATTAACAATAATTTATCATATACATCGAAATAGGTAGAAGAAAAAATTTGAAGTGTTCCCAACACAAATAATGAATGTTTGAGGTGATGGATATCCTAAATATTGTGATTTGATCATTAAACATTGTATGCATGTATCAAAATATCATATGTACCCCATACATATGTGCAATTATCATGTAGCAGTTTAAAAAGTGTTTGAGCCAGGACGAGATGGGGGCAAGACACTGCCTTTGGATTAAGAGGCTCTATGCTTCACAAATACTTGAGACTGCAGGGGCTCTGCCTTTCAGTAACACTTTCACTTCTTTTTACTTCATGCAATTAAAGGATAATATGGGTAAAGAACAACTGATATATTAAGCAGAGTTTGTTGCATTTATACCTTTGAGACATTGATCTCTCCCACTTGCCTCTATTTTTAGTGATAGTTCAGCCAGCCCTTCTTTATTCAAACAAGACCTTCTCAGACCTAGACCCAGTGTTTGCCCCCAGAGACTAAATCAGCTCATTGCTTGGCTATGAAAGGCTCCTTTCTTGGAAATTACAGTTAAGAAAATGGGAAGAGTTAAAAGTAACATAGTTGTGAACCTGAGGCAGAAAGGCAAGGAAAGATACAGTTCAGTTAAAGCAAGAAAACAGGTAGTTAAGGAAGGAAATTTTTAATAAAGAGTATATTACAGTTGTATGGTTTTGGTTATGATACAGTAAAAAAGAGAAACATGACAATTCAAAAGAAAGAAGAAATTTATAAGAATGAACTAGACTAGAGTATGAGAGGGGAAATGAGATTTATAGCACAACCCATTTGGTTTGGATTTCAATAGGAAAAAGATGTTTTTCATTAGAAAAGGGGGGTAGGTGGTAATGTAATTACATATGTAGGTAAATTTGTTTATTTAGTAGTAGAAATATGAAATAGTTCCTCTGGATTGCATTTATTTTACTAGTAAAATATTTCATCAGCTGATGAAAGAAAGATGTGTTTTTGTTTGAAAAAGTTTGAGAAGTCATGTCAAAAAACTCATATATTAAGGAAAAATGAAGTCTGTGAGAATTGTGAGTAATGATTTCCAAAAAGTGATTACTCAAGACAAATGGCTGCATTTTAATAAAAATCATGAAGTTTGTTGTGTCTTCATTGCCCTAATCCCCTCCAAATCTTCCTTCCTACCCCCACTAGATAACCTTGAAAACTAATCCAAAACTCATCCAAAGTCAGGATGAAAACCAATATTCAAACAGCCACTGCAGTGGGCAGAGTAGATTTAATTCTCCTCCAAAATCTGAGTCCTAGATAATTGTTACTATTTGATTCATTTCACATTTCCCTGGAGAATCTTGTTTGCAAGATTTAACTTTATTTGACCAGACTCAGACCTCACACATTACAGTCTTTTTTCTTCCTTGTGGGATTGGAGGAGGGGTGCTCAGATTAAATTACCTTTGTATGAAGAAAAATCTACCCCTTCTTCATGGCAGGTAACACCCTATACCAAAGTGTGCTGACTTGGTAATGATATGGTAATACCATTCACGAAGGAAGAAAATACAAGAGGAAATATTTGTGTGGCCAAAGTTTTTTAGCTCAGTTCCAAAATACTAAATTTTCTATACCTGTGTGGCCACCAAAGAAAAAGAAAAATCAGGGGAAAACACTATCACAAAACAAAAGAAGGTGGCAGTTTTTGAAATAAAAGAGCCATCTCCATATCTAAAGCTGCAGAGATCAAGTAAGCCAAGAACTGCTGGGCACCTACTTATTTTAGCAATTCAGAGATCACTGACAACCTTGTCAAAATCATTTCCTCCTGATCAGAGGGAGAGCTCATCTTCCATGGTTTGAAGGGTAAAAATGGTGTTCTCATAAAAAGAGTAGTTTTTTTCTTTCAAAAGAGATTATTAGACCCAATGCTTTTATTTTACATGTCGAAGCTGACACTCAAAAGCAAACCTGGGTAGTTTGCTCAAGAGCAAATATCCATGTCAGAGATTCTGATTCCCGTTGCAATGACCCATGAACATTATGCATTCAAGCAATTAGAATTTCATTTAATTAATTATGCTGTATTTAATTGTGTTGACTATTTAAGGTATTCATAGTTACATTAGTTTGTCAGTTCGAACAAAACAAAATGATGAAGTGTAGACATACTTTAATAATACTCTATCCCATATGTTAACACAAACACTTGAACTAACAGCAAAATCATCTCCAGTAGACATTATATGAATTTCATTTACTATAAGGAACAATGTTTCATTTACAATTACAAGTCCATTGCATCAACTGATGTTATATTTAAATATTATAGGAGAGCCAGCCACGGTAACATGAGCCTGTAATCTCAGCTACTTGGGAGGCTGAGGTAGGAGTATCAGGTGAGCCCAGGAGTTCACGTCCAGCCTGGGCAACACAGGGAGACCGTATTTCAAAAAAAAAAAAAACACTAAAAATAAATGGGCGATCACACAACATTTTAAAGTTTTTATTTTTCTTTATATTCCTTAGAGTCATATGAAACCAAAACATCTGTAGATTTATTTATACTTCCTAGATATGAATAAGCCTACTAATGGGACATGGGCTGGTCAAACTTGCAATACGACACTGTGACAAAAGATACTGTCCTGCTTATTTCATAATAGTCTAAATAATAAAGATTCATAATCTTCATATTTTAAATTTTTACCTTATTTTTCCTTTGAAAATAGATCATATGACTTCCACTTTATTATATTAATTTCTTTTAAAAATAATGATATGATAAATGCAGGGGCTAGAATTTTTATAGTTTTGCAAACTATTTGACCTTCTGAGTATGTGTGTACATGTGTGTATGCCTGTGGTTTTTAAAATATATCTTAAGTCCTGATACAACCTCTTATTTAATAGCAATAGCTTTAAACACATGATAGTAGTTGAGGATAAAGAAGTTGCTTCCAAGTAATATATCTACAATTTAAATATCAAATTTATAAATATTATTCAATGTAAATATACCAAAGCAAAGTCTCCTTAGATCTGTTCTTACCCCATCAGTAGGGACTGTTTCTTGGAAAGAATTTGGTAAAACTTACTGTAATACCCCATATGCCTTCACTACAGAAGAGTCTTATCCCTGCAGAATGATACAAAATTTTGAAGCTTTATCCTTCAAAAGAATTAGGTGTGAACATTTAAATGCACTGCTACCATCATTTAAATTTAATATTCAGATCCTAAATGGACAATTATACTTTTGACCAAGTGATTAAATTTCCTTTCAGTTTCTCTTTGATGGAAATTTTATTAACTGTCCTCATAGACTCCAAGTTCTATTCTGTAAAATAACTCAGTATCTTTTCTCAACTACTTTTTTAAAATTCCGGTTAGACAGAAATACATTAAGATATAATTGGGCATTGGAAAATTGGTGCTTTTATTCTAGTTTTTTTGACCTAAAATCAGACATTTAAACCAAATGATTAATATTTAAAATGTGAGAAAGATTGAATCTTTGGAATTAAACTAGATTTTAGGTATATCATTTGCATAATGTTCTTTGCCTAAGTCATTATGAATCATTTTTTAATATATTTGAAAACTTAGAGTGTATAGCACAATTATGAGCACCTGAAACTGTCTCATTGCAAGAGGAAAATACATTTTTCCACACTTTACTGACATATTAAATGTTATCCCTACAGAGGTGTTGAAATTTGAAACATGTATGAATTTGCAACAGGTAGGGATATTTTGGCAGGAGCACTGTGGTATGCTTTGCAAAGACCCTATGTCTCAGACCCTGAGGCATTTTATATATTTATTTTTTCCTCATCCAACAAATGTTTAAAATTATCATTACCTTTTTTCAGATAAACAAATGGTTTTATTTACCTGCATGAAAATCTGATGGGGCATTTGAGAGTCACGCCGAGTATGAACCAAATATTCCTAGTCTAGCACTTCCGTGTGCATTATGAGACATCATGCAGCACACATCAATAGTACTTCAAATCATTGGCACAGGCAAACATGCTCATAAAAGTTGCCAAAATTCCTCCTGTCCAATCTTTATTATGACATTCTATTACTATATAGCAATGAAAAAGGCTTCGGCTAAGTGAAGTCGCACTGTTATCTCTCCAAATCTACTAGAATGAATTAGTATGATTACTTTCTTTGTGCCCAGTGTTGTGTTAGGCTCTGGGATGGAAGGAGAAATGGTCACCAGTTATACAAAGATCTGTAAGACAGAATTCAAGATGATGAAAGAGAGAGAGAAGCCACTGCTTTAGGGATTAAATAAGAGTACGGGCCTGTAGTAAAAATGAAAATTCCTTCGCATTCTACTCTCTTCATTTCTACCACAGTCAGAGCAGCATCAAAAGTAATCAAAAACCTTAACATAGTATAATATATGTATTTTTTTTCTGTAAGAAAGGCTATATATAAAAATATGTAGATATATTTGCTGCACTTGCCCAAAGAAACACTGGAAGCATCATAAAACCATACAAATATAAAAAAATGGTTATTTCTTTTTTTTTTAATTATTATACTTTAAGTTTTAGGGTACATGTGCACATTGTGCAGGTTAGTTACACACGTATACATGTGCCATGCTGGTGTGCTGCACCCACTAACTCGTCATCTAGCATTAGGTATATCTCCCAATGCTATCCCTCCCCCCTCCCCCCACCCCACAACAGTCCCCAGAGTGTGATGTTCCCCTTCCTGTGTCCATGTGATCTCATTGTTCAATTCCCACCTATAAGTGAGAATATGCGGTGTTTGGTTTTTTGTTCTTGCAATAGTTTACTGAGAATGATGGTTTCCAATTTCATCCATGTCCCTACAAAGGACATTAACTCAACATTTTTTATGGCTGCATAGTATTCCATGGTGTATATGTGCCACATTTTCTTAATCCAGTCTATCATTGTTGGACATTTGGGTTGGTTCCAAGTCTTTGCTATTGTGAATAATGCCGCAATAAACATACGTGTGCATGTGCCTTTATAGCAGCATGATTTATAGTCCTTTGGGTATATACCCAGTAATGGGATGGCTGGGTCAAATGGTATTTCTAGTTCTAGATCCCTGAGGAATCACCACACTGACTTCCACAATGGTTGAACTAGTTTACAGGCCCACCAACAGGGTAAAAGTGTTCCTATTTCTCCACATCCTCTCCAGCACCTGTTGTTTCCTGACTTTTTAATGATTGCCATTCTAACTGGTGTGAGATGGTATCTCATTGTGGTTTTGATTTGCATTTCTCTGATGGCCAGTGATGGTGAGCATTTTTTCATGTGTTTTTTGGCTGCATAAATGTCTTCTTTTGAGAAGTGTCTGTTCATATCCTTCGCCCACTTTTTGATGGGGTTGTTTGTTTTTTTCTTGTAAATTTCTTTGAGTTCATTGTAGATTCTGGATATTAGCCCTTTGTCAGATGAGTAGGTTGCGAAAATTTTCTCCCATTTTGTAGGTTGCCTGTTCACTCTGATGGTAGTTTCTTTTGCTATGCAGAAGCTCTTTAGTTTAATTAGATCCCATTTGTCAATTTTGACTTTTGTTGCCATTGCTTTTGGTGTTTTAGACATGAAGTCCTTGCCCATGCCTATGTCCTGAATGGTAATGCCTAGGTTTTCTTCTAGGGTTTTTATGGTTTTAGGTCTAACGTTTAAGTCTTTAATCCATCTTGAATTGATTTTTGTATAAGGTGTAAGGAAGGGATCCAGTTTCAGCTTTCTACATATGGCTAGCCAGTTTTCCCAGCACCATTTATTAAATAGGGAATCCTTTCCCCATTGCTTGTTTTTCTCAGGTTTGTCAAAGATCAAAAGCTAGCAGAAGGCAAGAAATAACTAAAATCAGAGCAGAACTGAAGGAAATAGAGACACAAAAAACGCTTCAAAAATTAATGAATCCAGGAGCTGGTTTTTTGAAAGGATCAACAAAATTGATAGACCGCTAGCAAGACTAATAAAGAAAAAAAGAGAGAAGAATCAAATAGACGCAATAAAAAATGATAAAGGGGATATCACCACCGACCCCACGGAAATACAAACTACCATCAGAGAATACTACAAACACCTCTACGCAAATAAACTAGAAAATCTAGAAGAAATGGATAAATTCCTTGACACATACACTCTCCCAAGACTAAACCAGAAAGAAGTTGAATCTCTGAATAGACCAATAACAGGATCTGAAATTGTGGCGATAATCAATAGCTTACCAACCAAAAAGAGTCCAGGACCAGATGGATTCACAGCCGAATTCTACCAGAGGTACAAGGAGGAACTGGTACCATTCCTTCTGAAACTATTCCAATCAATAGAAAAAGAGGGAATCCTCCCTAACTCATTTTATGAGGCCAGCATCATTCTGATACCAAAGCCGGGCAGAGACACAACCAAAAAAGAGAATTTTAGACCAATATCCTTGATGAACATTGATGCAAAAATCCTCAATAAAATACTGGCAAACCGAATCCAGCAGCACATCAAAAAGCTTATCCACCATGATCAAGTGGGCTGCATCCCTGGGATGCAAGGCTGGTTCAATATACGCAAATCAATAAATGTAATCCAGCATATAAACAGAGCCAAAGACAAAAACCACATGATTATCTCAATAGATGCAGAAAAGGCCTTTGACAAAATTCAACAACCTTTCATGCTAAAAACTCTCAATAAATTAGGTATTGATGGGACATATTTCAAAATAATAAGAGCTATCTATGACAAACCCACAGCCAATATCATACTGAATGGGCAAAAACTGGAAGCATTCCCTTTGAAAACTGGCACAAGACAGGGATGCCCTCTCTCACCACTCCTATTCAACATAGTGTTGGAAGTTCTGGCCAGGGCAATTAGGCAGGAGAAGGAAATAAAGGGTATTCAATTAGGAAAAATGGTTATTTCTACCCATAAATGGAGACAAGACAGGGGCAGGCCTTCCCTGAATAAACCTTTTAATATAATTTTTGACTCTTGGGTTATGTAATTATATTATTTCAAAAAATAGTAATTTGTAAGTACACATAAAGGAAAGCACGTTGAGACCTTGATGAAATGGCAAGTGTGCTGGCAGTTACTCAGAAATAAAATCTATTGTTTCTATTATAATATGTGTTAATATATACCCTATAGCTATCCAACCTCTGGGTGGTGTTGTCTGGGAAGCAATCATAGCTACCATTTATTCAGAGCAATTTCTATGCCAGAACACACAGTAGTGTTTTATGTAAGGCATTCAGCAAGTTTTAAGTGTTTTTATTATCTCTTTTTTTTTCCTTCAGATTCACACTGAAACAATGACTTTCTTCCCCTAAGAAACATTTCCTGGGACCCTGAGTACTTTTATCAGTCAACACCTCTGAACAGCTGGCTCCCAACTCATGACTTCCAGGAGATAAAATCAACTGAATATTCTTCCACAGACAAGGCTGATTTTTTTAATCCTCTAAACACAACCCTACACCCACCCATCCTAATCCCCCAAAAGAAAGTGAAACTCACAGGGATAAAGACTCTCTCTGCTGGAACATAGGCCCAAATTTGGGGTTCAGCAAAGTGCCCTAGTCCCCACTTTGCTTTCATGTCAGATACGGGATGGGGGATTGGTGTCTTCTTTTGTTTTCTTGTTGACGCTGGTCTGATGTGTTTTTCCTTTCTACCTATCTAACACTCCTTTAACCCATGTTGTGTAATGTTGTAGACTCTGGTTCTAATCTAAAAGTGTGGCAGGTAGGGAACAAGATGAACCTACCTCAAATGATACTCATAAGTCAATGTGTACTAGCCTTGTTTCATACCTGAGCAACAGTCTTTGCTGGGTTGACCAGCACTGACAGGGTGGGTCCATAACTGAGTCTCCATGTCTGACCCAGCCAGGAAGTGTTGAATGGGCTCTGCAGAGTAGATGCTTACAGTCTCTGTGCCCTTTTAACCTTCTACCTTTAAGAACTATGTAATATTAATACTTACCTTACTAAAACTTCAGTTATTGGCATTAAAGCGTTGCAACATAGTTCATTGTAGGTCAGGATGAAAGAGATGTGGCCACCTTAAATCCAGGTCTGCTATAGTGATAAATACAATGTAATGGACATCTTCCAAATGCCAGATTCTATGTTAAATCTTTTACAAATTTTATTTATAACTGTCACCACTACTGTAAAATATCATTACTTCTTTTTACAGATGAGGAAAACAAATCTTTCTCGCTGCTTCCCCCAAGTGACCCGTTAGTTACCAACTGGTAGAACAAGAAATCAATTCACAGTGTGCCAGATTTCAAAGCCTATGTTTTTTTGCTATAATCTCAGGCTGTTATTTATTTAGAAGAGGAAGAAATCCAAAAAAGGGTTACTAAACAGCAGATCTGGAATCAGTCATAGGGAAGAGCAGCCAATGAAACTACTCTGAGTATCACTTGAAATGCAAGCTAAACAAACACTGATTTCATAAAACAGTGCTTATCTCATAAATTCTGAATCTCAGTAGGCAGGCTAATAATCTCCAAAAGACTTGCAGAAGCAACATGCTGAGAATGCCACATTGAATGAAGGTTCTGATCAGTTAATATGAGTCCCAGAGGAAGTCAAACTGCACTGTGCAGGTTCTATAGTAAAAATAATAATCATTTGAGTTATAAATACAGTGTTTCATTTGGGAAAGGGACAGTGAGATATGATAAACATCTTTAAAATTTTAAAGTAGTGTGTGGGGAAGAGGCTATGGATGTTCTATTTTATTCCAGAACAGCATTTGCTTACTGAAGTGGCTCAGTGCTAGAATCGTGTGAAGAGTTCTTTAAAACTTCCCACACCTAGGCCCAATCCTAAAAGTTGTATTTAAATGGTTTGGGGTACAGTTCCAGCTTTTGAAAAGTGGTCTAACTTGAAGCCAGACTCATAGCCAGTGTACTAGAGAGAAGAGAGAGAACAACAGTTAATAGTAACAATGAGGTAGGCTTCAAGAATCCCAAGATTGAAGTCAAGTAATAATTTTGAAAAGCTAACAAAGGCACATGAATAAACATATGAATGTGGCATACTCCTTCACAGTCCTTATTCACACAAAACTTATACACAGAGTATCTTTATATGGAATTTTAATATAATGTATACTATAACAAGAATTGTGCTACTTTGTTCAATGGATATAACAAGATCCAATAAACTAAGAAGAAACCCTAAGTATATTTACATTTAAGTTTGAAAGATCATAGGACAGTTAAGCTGGAATAATAATATTAGTATAAGGCTTAAAATATGAAACATTAAAATTATGTAATCGATCCAGCAATGCCAAAGAGTACCTCAAAAAGCAAGGTGCTTTCTGCCAGTGAAAATAATAAAAAATGTAGAACCTTTTGTCATATATGTAAGAGATCCCTGCATTGGGTGAGAAATCAGACTATACCACTGTATCAGTCAGGATTTTTCAGAGGGAAAAGAATCAGCAGGAGAAGGATCTCTAGATATAAAATGACAGATAAGTAGAGATAGATAGAGATAGATAGATAGTAGAGAGAGAGAGAGAGAGAGAGATACATAGAGATCTGTTTTAAGTAACTGTAATTGGCTTACGCAATTGTGGAGACTAGCAAGTCTGAAATCTGCCAACAGGCGGCAGGTAGAATCTGGAGGTACAGTCTTCAAGCAAAATTTCTTCTTCTTCAGGAAACACCAATGTTGTTCTTAAGGGCTTTGAACTGGTTGGATGAGGCCCACCTACATTATTGAGGATAATCCCCTTTACTTAATGTCAACTGATTGTATATATTAACCACATCTATAAAATACCATCACAGTAACACCTAGATAGGTGTTTGATTGTATAACTGAGCATTTTAATCTTGCCAAATTGACACACAAAACTACCCATGATAGCAACCTATAATTCTCTTTTCAATTGTAGGATTTTATTATTCCAAGTAGAAAATAGATAAGTGATGGGGGGACTCTCCTTTACACTTGTAAATAGTCTGTTCAGATATAGTAGTTACAGCTGTCATGCTCACTACCTACTACCACATTCTACATGATTATCATCCTTTCCTATTATCACTGTATATCTTAATACCTTTTACAATCTCAAGACCTTTTATATACTTGACAAAAGGTCAAAGTCTAGGTCTGTCCAAACACTACGCTGTCCATTACTTTTTAACTTCCCTCTGATATTGCCAATGCTAGCGTATATAGGAAACAATAGTCAATTTGTAAATAAAATACCAAATCATTTTAGAATCAAATTGTCATTATGCCAATACAGTATTCTGTTAAAAGTAGGTTTCAATGCCTTACAGCAGATATTTAAGTAGAATTTCCTACATCTTTCTAAACCCTACACTGCAAATTGAATCTTGGATTCTTACGCCCCTTTGGCTGTCTGCACAGAATAAGACCTTGAAACACAGACCAGCAATTGAAACTTGAGTGTGTTGTGACAACTGGTAAAGTCTGCAGTGGGAAAGACTTGAGTTGAGTTAGTTACCCAAGGCATATGTGGGAGAAAGTGAAAGACAGTAAGCTTGGTATGAGTTTATGACACTTTTTTTTCTAACAGACACAACCTATGAGTCTGGCTCAGGAAGGAAATGAATTTCTGCTTGTCCATATTAGTAATTTTCCTTCCTAACTGTGATGGTCAATAGAAGAGGGCACAGAATGCCCAGATAGCTGGTAAAACATTATTTCTAGGTGTGTCTGTGAGTGTGTTTCTGGAAGAGTGTATCTGGAAGAGACTGGATTAGCATTTGCATTGGTATACTGAGTAATGAAGACCATGACACCAATGTGGGTGGACATCATCTAATCCACTGAGGGCTCTAATGGAGCAGAAAGGCACAGGAAGAGCAAATGTTTGAGTTTGGACATCATCTTTTTATGCCCTCAGACACTGGTACCCTTGGCCTCAGACACTGGACGTTCTTCAGACCTACACTGAGACTTACACCATTAGCTTCCTTGTATCCCTAGCCATCAGATTTGAACTGAATTATATCACTGGCTTTACTGGTTAGGCCAGTTTGCAGATGGAAGATTGTGAGAATTGGCTACCAAAATCAAATCAACCAATTCCTATAGTAAATATCTTCCTCTCTCTCTGTTGTGTATATATGTGGTGACTGTTAAGAGGTTATTAGGCCATGAGGGCTTGGCTTTCATGAATGTATTGAAGCTGTTTTCATGAGAGTAGGTTTGTTGTCTCTGAAGAGAGTTCCTTAGAAAGGGGCAAGTTCCTCTCTCCACTCTGCCCTTCTGCCCTCCACCATGGGATGATGCAGCAAGAAAGCCCTTGCCAGATTCTTGCCCCTTGATCATGGACTTCCCAGTCTCCAAAACCATGAGCCAATGAATGTCTATTCATTATAAATTACCCAATATGTGGTATTTTATTATAGCAGCACAAAGCAGACTAAGACACCATCCTATTGGTTCTGTTTCTCTGAATAACCCTGATTAATACAGTAACATAAAGGGGATACTAAAATGGGGGTGGTGAGATAATAGCTACTCTGCAAAAGGAAAGGAACTGGGATAACCTCCCCCATCTCACCCATAGCTCCAATGGAAAGAAATGAAAAAAGCTACTATGCCTGTTCTGAATAAAAGAAAAATATTGCCAGATATGTGCTTAGATTTGCGTTTGGGTATAGTTATGAGATAGGTTATGATGTGCTGCAGGTAATATTAATAGCCATAATAAAGAGTACATTAATTGGCTTTCTAGGTAAATAATATAAGGTAATACTCTCTTGATCATACGGGTACAGCATGGTATTATCATCTGGAGCTTAGATTTGTTCCAGCTTTACAGAATAGAAGCAATGGACTTTTCCATCTGTTTTTAATCACTGATGATGTCAATTTTTTGATTAGCCACAAACTTCAAAATGTTAGAAAAAAAATGAAAAAATTCATTTGAGTGAGATTTAAATATTATCAAAATATTTAATCTAATATATGAATTAATCAGATTTAGCACTCACTAGCAGAGATATTTTGAAATATATTCCTTTAATATTGAGTTTTGAATATTATAATTGTTTTTATTATTACAAATGTCAATTCTTGAAATATTTTCAATTTCCAGAAACAAACTTAGAATACTGTCTTTAAAGTGAGTAATAAACTTTCCCAACTGTTTTATCACCAGCTGTACCTACACTGAAGGCATATACTTTTATAGAAAGGTAGACTCTACAGCTTATTTTAAAATTTTATTCATTGGACAACCTGTAAATAGATTGAATTGAGGATATTGATTGTTCATGAGTAAGCTGGCTAGTGCTTTACTAAATTAATGAAATAATTAGTTAAAAATTGACTGTGAAAAACAGAAACAGACAAATCAAATGAAATGTGAAGTGTTAAATTTTAAAGCAATGCATTTAGAAACTCCAATGTATAAAAGGGAACATAATCAATAACTTCTATAGTTCCACCTAGAAAACTATGTGAAGACACTGGCTAGAACTTTTCCAAGTCATTTTGAAGATAGCCAGTTTAGGACATCTTTAATTAAAATGGCAAAAAAACCTTACTAAGTTACAATTAATAATAGAGTGTTTACATTCATTCGAAATCTATTCTACAGTAAGTCCTATTTTAATATTTGAATTGTTTGTTTTTTATTTCATTTGACCAAAACTATGAAAAATCAAAATTAAATAGTTCACACAAACATATCTGGTTTTGAAAGGAAAATGGTGCAAATATAAAACTCAGAAGATGCAAGGAGTAAAAGAAGCAATTTAAAGTAGAATGAGTACAGATATGGTATCTGGGGGCTATATTCCAGCCCTGGCTCTTCCACTAACGGCTGAGGGAAACTGGACAAGTCATTGAGCATCTGGAGCCTTTAATTTCTTCCTATGCAAGTTGAGGGGATGAACGATGTCTGTAAGACTCCTCTTTCTAAATAAATCCTTGATCTTTAAGTAAGCCCAAATACAGATGGCAAGTAATATTTCTATAGATTCTGAGCACAAACCTCCCCTAATAAAAGTTGTTCAAGGAGTCTCCATAGACTTTATAACAAAGCCTATAATATGGGATACCTATCATCAATTGACTCCCTACTATATACCACTCCTATTTCTTTTGTAGCTTATTGTCCATTGCACTAAGTTCCGTGAATGTTGAACTGTTCATATTTTCTCTTATGCCCAGGGTTTTATCTCTAGATTCACTCAACAAACTTTAAAGAGGCCAAGCTAAATCGTTTTAGTGAGTGAAGCAACTTACAGTGGGCAAATAAAAGGATCTGAATTTGTAGTCCTTATTGTTGATGGGTATTATTTTGTGCCCATATACAAATCCTTGAGCTTCTCCTCTAGCAAAGAGAGGTTCAAAGTATGAAAGGATGACGGTTTTCCCCTAAACAATAACCACCAAAGGCTTACTGAACCTAATCCCCATCTTATGGAATCATTAAGGGCTTTAGGAAAAGCAGTTATCCCTAGGATAGATGTTGGCGTAGAGGTGGTGAAAAGGGAACGCTTTTATTCTGCTGGTGAGAAAGTAAACTAGTACAGCCACTATGGAAAACAGTCAGTATAGAGCTTCCTTAAAGAACTAAAAGTGAACTACCACTCGATCCAGCAATCTCACTACTGGGTATCCACCCAAAGGAAAGTAAGTCATTATATGAAAAAGATACTTGCACACGCATGTTTATAGCAGCACAATTTGCAATTACAAAAATATGAAACCAGCCTAAATACCCATCAATCAACAAGTAGATAAAGAAAATGTGGTATATATACACGATGGCAAACTACTCAGCTATAAAAAGGAAAAAAATAGTGGCATTCACAGCAACCTGGATGGATTTGGAGACAATTATTGTAAGTGAAGTAACTCAGGAATGGAAATCAAATATTGCATGTTCTCGCTTGTAAGTGGGAGCTAAGCCATGAGGATGCAAAGGCATAAGAATGCTATAATGGCCAGGCATGGTGGCTCACACCTGTAATCCCAGCACTTTGGGAGGCTGAGGAGGCCAGATCACGAGATCAGGAGTTCGAGACCAGCCTGACCAACATGGTGAAATACCCTCTCTACTAAAAATACAAAAATTAGCTGGGTGTGGTGGCACACGCCTATAATCCCAGCCACTCAGGAGGCTGAGGTAGGAGAAATAGCTTGAACCCAGGAGGTGGAAGTTGCAGTGAGCCAAGATGGCACACTGCACTCCAGCCTGGGTGACAGAGTGAGACTCCATTTCAAAAAAAAAAAAAAATGCTATAATGGACTTAGGGACTCAGGGAGAAGATTGGGAGAGGGGTGAGGAATAAAAGACTACACATTGAGTACAGCGTACACTGCTCAAGTGATGGGTGCACCAAAATCTCATAAATCACCACTAAAGAATTTATCCTTGTAACCAAAAAACACCTATTCCCCAAAAACGGTTGAAATAAAAAAATAAAATAAAATGTCTTATAATTGTTTTCTGTGACATAATAGAAGTTAAATAAGAGAAATTTCTTGTTAGAGAAATTCCTTTCCATGCTTTCACAGATTGTGTGGGCTCCAAGAAGAGTGAATGTGATTATCCTAGTAATGGTATTCCTGGAACTTAGTGAAATGGAGAATAAGCTAGAAAAGAGATAGGACACAAACAAATGGAAAAACATTCCATACTCATCAATAGGAAGAATCGATATTGTGAAAATGATCATACTGCCCAAAGAAATTTATAGTTTCAATGCTATTCCCATTAAACTACCATTCACGTTCTTCAAAGAACTAGAAAAATATTTTAAAATTTATGTGAAACCAAAAAACAGTCTGAAGAGCCAAGGCAATCCTAGGCAAAAGGAACAAAGCTGGTAGCATCACATTACCCAACTTCAAACTATACTACAGTGCTACAACAACCAAAACAGCAAGACATTCATACAAAAACAGACACATAGACCAGGGGAACAGAATAGAGGCCCAAAGATAAGGCTGTGCTCCTACAACCATCTGATCTTCAACAAAGCTGACAAAAGCAAGTAAGGTAAAGGACTCCCTATTCAATAAATTGTGCCAGTTATCAACTGGCCAGCCATATGCAGAAGGTTGAAACTGGACCCCTTCCTTAAACCATATACAAAAATCATCACAAGAGGGATTAAAGACTTAAATGTAAACCCCAAAACTGTAAAAACCCTGGAAGACAACCTAGGCAAAACAATTCACGACATAGACAGAGGCAAAGATTTCATGATGAAAACAGCAAAAGCAATTGCAACAAAAGCAAAAATTGACAAATGAGATCTAATTAAACTAAAGAGCTTCTGTACAGCAGGAGAAACTATCAGCAGAATAAACAGACAACCTACAGAATGGAAGAAAACTTTTGCAAACCGTGCATCTGACGAAGACCTAATATTTAGCATCTATAAGAAACTTAAACCTCTTTACAAGAAAAATACAAAACATTAAAAAAGTGGGCAAAGGACATGAGCAGACACTTTTCAAAAGAAGACATACATGTGGCCAACAAACATATGAAAAACTGCTCAACATCACTGATCATTAGAGAAATGTAAATCAAAACTACAATGAGCTACCACCTCACACTATTCAGAATGGCTATTGTTAAAAAGTCAAAAAATAACTGAAGCTGGTGAGGCTACAGAAAAAAGGAACGCTTACAGACTGTTGGTGGGAGTGTAAATTAGTTCAACCATTGTGGAAGACAGTGTGGTAATTCCTCAAAGACCTAAAACCAGGACTGCCATTCAACCCAGCAATTCCATTACTGGGTTTATACCCAAAGGAATATAAATCATTCTATCATAAAGCCACGTGCATGCATATGTTCATTGCAGCACTATTCACAATAGCAAAGACATTCAACCAACCTAAATGACCATCAATGGTAGACTAGATAAAGAAAATGTGGTACACATACACCATGGAATACCATGCAGCCACAAAAAGAATAAGATCATATCCTTTGCAGTAACATGCATGGAGCTGGAGGTCACTATACTTAGCAAACCAGCACAGGAATAGAAAACCAAATACCGCAAGTTCTCACTTATAAGTGGGAGCTAAATTATGAGAATACATGGACACATAGAGGGGAAGAATAGACACTGGGGCCTAGACAAGGGTATAGGATGGGAGAAAGAAGAGTATCAGGAGAAATAACTAATAGGTACTAGGTTTAACACCTGGGTGACAAAATAATCTGTACAACAAACCCCCAGGACATGAGTTTACCTATATAACAAACCTGCACCCTGGAACCCAAAATAAAAGTTCAAATAAAAAGACATAGGAGTAATGTATAGTGGATAGTTGATTGATAATAGATATCCCATGTTACAGGCTTTGTTGTAATGATACCGCAGATTCTTTGAACAACTTTTAACAGAGTTCCACAAGCTGGACTGAGAGTAAAGACACCAGGCACCGAACAGTGAAATATGGTCTTCCCATTAGTTAAAAGCCTAAAAATTCTCTTATATCTGAGGAGATCTGAGATGCAGCCCCAGAGAGACAAAGTAACAGCTATCTAGAACTGGGTGGGGGCAGGGAAAATATATAAAGCTCTTCTGTAGTAATCAGAAAATATCAGAAAAATATTATCTGTAAACTTTAAGAGTCTGAGGCACAGTCAAGTTCTCAGTTACCAAATGGAGACTTCAGTTCTACCCTTTTCAAAGGATGATTTTCACTACTTAGATCTTTTTGTAAAACATTATGATAAGAGCAGGTGTTTTGAGGAAAAGATATATCATAGAGTTGAGTTCAATTTTGTATTTTTTAGAATGAAGCATGATAAATGAACTGAAATATCTAAATAAATGGTTTAACAGCTAACACTTACAAAAATTACTACTTCCTAAGTGCTACATATGTGTAATTATTCAATATGTACAACAAATCTATGAGGTAGTTATTATTATCTTCATTTTACAGATGAACGATTTGAAACACAGCAAGGTTAAATAAACTGCCATACAATCAGAAAAAGGAAGGCCACTGTACAGATTCAAATATATCTTACACAAATTCTGCGCTGTTAGCCATTATGCACCTGGAATAACTCTATTATCCAGGCAAACTTACTGCTCTAACACCTGAAATCCAATAGCTTAAGTTAGAAACATTATTGCTCCCTCACATTACAATCTAATGTTTGTGTGTGCATGTGTGTGTGCACTCGTGTGTGTGTGTGTGTGTGTTTTGGGAAGAGACAGAAGAGGGACATGGTCCATTTCCAACTAATGACCTGCCGTCTATTACGTCTTCCAGGGTCTCTAGAAGAGATAAAGTAGACTTGTGTGAAGATTATTTTTATTCGGAGTTGAACATATACCCATTTTTTCACTGGCCTAACTTCCAGGGGCTGAGGAAGCACATAACTGTGAGCCCAGAAAAGCAGATATATCCATCTCTGTCACAAGACAGGGGCTACATAGTGAAGAAGTTAAAACAAATCTGGAGAAGCGATACCAACTCTTAGCATTGTTATTCACTGAGAATTTCCCTTTACTATGAAAAATCCATTTCATGCTTGTCTACTTTAGTAAATCACAAAATTGAGTTCTAAATTGGTTAAAAATGAGAGTGATCACAAGGAAACTGAAAGGAATTTGATGTTGATAATCAGAGGCTGGCATTTGCCCAGATGTTAACATAATCTAATTCTAGTTCATGACCATAATCTGTGCAATTTCTCTTCTTGGAGAACGGGTGCTGTTTTCTTGCAAGCTGTTGTTCTAATAAATGCCAAAATGTTGGGTTTTATTTTTCCAAATATAGAGAAAGACCCATAAGATATATTATTGTAAACTATATTCTCTAATACTGAGCACAAGCTAGGATACATATCGCAAACTACAAGAGAAAAAACACGGCTTTCATATTTGCTATAACATCTGAATCCCAATACCTTGGCAACCACTCAGTAGGTGAAAGACCTACTTGAGGAGCTGCCTTTATTCTCACCACAGAACCGAGTGATTATTCTTCTTTTTTCCAATATGGGAGGATGAGGAGTAATTTTCAGTTTGGGGTATATTTTAATTTTTACAAAACATACAATAATAACATACAGCATAATGAAGGAACAAAGATATATTCATTTAAAAAACAGATTTGTGATCTTCTACTTATTGGTTGTATAACCTTTCAGATTTCACTGAATCCGTCAGGAATTCAATTTACTGTCTGCAAAAACAGAAATAAGAAGAATTACTAACTTATGGAAGTATTGTGTGCCTTAACTGAAACAATACGTATAAAGCACTTGTAACATAGCAGGGCATATGTTATGACCTCAGTGAATCTATGCTATGAATACGATTATATGAGCTAGTATTGTCACCCCAAAGCATTAATTACTTTTATCTTTCCATCTGCTTCTTTTTGCTATATATTTGTTCACACAGTATTAAAGCAGAAACCTACTTTATTTAAAGCAAAAGGTGATGAGAAGTAAAAAGCCATATATCTGAGAGATCTCTGGAGAAAGCCAGGTTGCGTTCCCTTTGGCTTTATGTCACAGCACTAGCATGGGCTGTAGGAAAGAATATACAAAACACATATGATATTTTCAAACAATATTAAATCTAAAATGGTTTAAGAAAAACTTCAATTGAGAGAAACTCAACTGAAATAGATGCAAAAGTCTCAGAACTCTGAGCCCAACGTAACAAAACATAATTCTGCTGAGAAGGATGCAAACTAATGTCTCTAGGGATGCATAAATACTAATAGATATTCAATGAGCAGAGAAGACAGGAAACATTATTACCGAATAATTCCTGGGAGTATTACTGGCACAAATTAAATATGAATTTATATTGAAACATAAGAGCTACAAAGAGTGATATGAAATGTTAAATGCTTAATAACAGTGAAGTACTTGTTTCAGTTGAAACAACTGAGGGAATCCATGATTACGCGACTATGAATGGGCAACTCTGCTGAGAGAAATACCCATATAGAGAGAAATCTCCTATGTTCGATTCTTTTAGGGGGGATGGTGAGGGAAACTGGTTGAAGGCAGAGTCCCAGTTGACTAATATTTTCATTGGGAGAATGTCAAGAACAACTCTTGTTGAAGGAGAAAAGCATATAGTGGAGAATCAAACAAGGTGATTAAGGGAAAGCAAGTTTAGGAAGAGTTATTAAAGGAAGCCTTCTTGACAACAAGACTACCAAGGAAATACAGTGCCTCTTTTCTGGTAATAAAATACTTTACAGCATGATAAAAATGATGAAAATAAGAAAAACATCATAGATGTAATTATAAGCTATTTCATAATGGCAGTTTTGATCATTATAAAGATGCCGATATTGGATTTCTGGGTTAAGATACTGGCAAGTAAGAAGAATTGGCTTTGCTTTCCTCAGTGGTCTCAATTAAGTATTTTAATTTTGGCATTTCATGTCTCTTTTCCATTTATTTTTGGTGTGGCCATAGCTACCACTTAACCCAAGTAGTTTGCCCTATTACCTGCTTCGTTGTTTGCTTTAATGTTCCCTGACTCCAACACAACTTACTAAACGTGGCCTAACATAGTAACTTTAATTACTTCCTTGTCACTAATCTGTGAGAGAGCCAAAATAAAATGTAGAGACAAATCTCTAAAATGTAACATTTTATTTGTAAATCACAGAATTGCAATATGGGGCATACACACAGACCAAGTGGTCCTCAGTATGTTCAAAGTACAAACAGAAAGTTAGGTTTCACAAAAAGACAGAAATATTGTGTATTGTTTTGAAAAAAAGTTCATTGGCATTAGTAAAGTTTTGAGGGTTTGGCAAACTGATTTGTGTGTGATGGCAGTAGGTAAAAGCTAGTCTTAGTCTTAGAGTCTCCCAGCAGGTCATTTCAGCAGCTATTAGGTAAAAGCAGTCTTAGGGTTACAGCACGCAGTCTCAGCAACCCAGCTTGCGGAAAATTATATTCTTGGAGCTGTTTTATGTGCCCCAAGTACTTCTTCACCCGACCTCTTGATTCTGATTGAGTATGGTGAAAATGACTTAATCTGTATGAACAACTTTCACATCTTTTAATGGCTCCCAGTTACTTACAAATTCCTCAAGAAAGAAAAAAAAAAGGTCATATTAATGCTGAGATTGTGTCAAGCATTGAGCCAGGTACTTTTAGTCTCATCGTATTAAAAGGAGGTGAGAAACTATCTTCCTGCATAATAGAAAGTGATAGAGTATTTAGGCTCTCTGTTGGTTGCTGATAGGGTTGCCCTTTCTGAATCCACCTCTGCATCAATTGTAGGGATTATAATTTCCCATAATGCAGCAAAGGGAAAAGCAAAATGCGAACAGGTGGTACAAAAACCCTGTCATTAGAATGAAGGAATTTATATGAACAAGAACAAGGGGATATTTGTGAGTAGGGGACTTTAGAAGGCTTTAGTTGTTTGTTTCTCAAGCATTGTTCCCAGCAAAGGAATAATTACAGATGTTCTACCATTGTGGATATAACAAATTCCTGTCTACCTCCTCAGATTACTAAGAGAGAAACTGGAGAAACTCCTCCCCTGTCATGTAGAATTACACTAGAAATGCAAAAGTATTTGGTTATCAGTTGTACACAAATACAGGTAGTTTCTGGTTTATGATGTGAGGGATTCTTACCAAAATCAGATAGAAATTAACTGAAATACACAGTGACAAATTTACCATGCTTATGAGAATAAATGAGGCAGCAGGTGAATAATGTTATTTTAGGCAGGAAGAGTTTTAGAGGTAGATAATGGTTTATATACATATATAAGTATATAATATAATTAGCTGTATGTTTTAGTCATTTATTTTGACTTTGATGTTTTGAGTGTATCAGTAGCATTGTAATGTTATTTTATCAATGGTAAATGATCCTCCCAAAACTAGTGTTAGGATGCTATCTCTCTCAGAAGTATAAAGGAATAGCTGGGGTGTCTAAGTAGGCCTTTCTAGCTTTGTCTTTCCTATTTTTTTTTGCAAGTTGTCTCCTGATTCTCATTTCTCAATTTCTCTTCTCCCTCATTTCACATGAACACTCCATCCAGTTTCATTTCACTGAAAGATTATTATTCAATGTAAAAAAAAAAAATCAGGCATTATCAGTTCAAATATCCAATTCACTGGATTTTCAGCATTCTTACTAGTTGAAGTTTGGTAACTGATAAGTATAGACCTCCAAGCCCCTGGCTCTGCCCATTTACACATAACACAGTGGTCTAATACAACCAACAAATTCCTTCCTTTTTTCCCTTAGAAATCAGGTCCTCAATGATGTAGCTCCATGATATTAACATGTTGTTGCCCGATTTTCTGAGTCTGTGAACTTGTGTTCTCTTGCTTTAATTAGGATTTTGACAAATCTCCATTTCCTGAAATGCTCTTCTAATCAAATGTGTAAAGATTCAAGTCCCCAATTTGTATTCGATAGCTGTCTTTTTCTTGCCAGTCTCCCTTCTTGAACTCTCTCTCAAACCTTCTTTGACATGTCCCATCTTGTAACATTTGGGTAGCATACACAGATCCTAATGGCCTTTTGCCAGTCTTTGGGGTAAGGGAATATTTCCTAAACAGCATTAAAAATAAATAAATTAATTAAAAATACGAAATTGAACACAATAACAATACAATCTTCTACTGCTCAAATGGCATAACTAAGGGAGGACAACACAAACTATCTAGAATGGAAAAAAGACTATTTTCCACACAGATAAATGAAAATGATCTCATATCCAAAACATATAAAGAACTATAAATCGACAAGTAAAAGACAGGCCAAAAAAATATGGCAAAGTGTCAGGAACATGCTAAGCATATTACCAAAGAAACTGTCTATAGCTTCAATAAATATATAATGATTTGCCCATGTTCATTAGTAATCAAGAAAATGCAAAGGAAAAAATATAATGAAATGATGTTACAGCTAAAAGAGAATAGGATAAATTATAATGACTATTATGTTCTGAATGTTTGTGTGCCCCCCAAATTTATATGTTCAAATTCAAACCCCAAAGGTCATGATATAAGGAAGTGGGGCCTTTGGGAGGTTTGCAGGTCATGAGGGCAGAGTGGTCATGAATGAGATTAGCATCCTTCTAAAAGAGCCCTTAGAAAGTGTATTTGCTCCTTTTCTGCCATGTTAGGATGCTGATGACAGATATTCATAAACCAGTAAGCAGGCCTTCACCAGACAGCGAATTTCTGATACCTTCTTCTGGATTTCCCAGCCTCCAGAAGTGGAGGAATAAACTGTTGTTGCATGTAAGCCACCCAGTTTATGGTACTTTGTCATAGCAGCCAGAGCAGTCTGAGACAATGACTGACAAAGAAATAGGCAATGGGAATTCTCTTACATTGCTAAAGGACATGGAAATTGGTACAAATATTTGGAAAGGTCTTCGGCATTATCTACTATCGAACCCAGTGTCCTGCAGACTAAATTTCAGACAAAACCAATTCTCATGCATATGCATAACAAACGATATGTAACAGTACAGTGTTGGTGGTATAGTGGTGAGCGTAGCTGCCTTCAAAAAGATGTGTAACATACATAAAAAATACTTATGATATTTTATCACCATCAAAACCAACGAGAAACATTGTCTATCAACAATAGAATATATAAATTAATTCTGATATTTTCATACACTAATATGCCATAAGCAATAAAATTAAACAATATACACATGCAAAAATATGGATGAATCACAAACATAATTTTAGTAACAAACCCAGTTATAATAGAATATATGTCACATGATTCTATATATATAATTTCAAAAAAAATCAAGCTAAATTAATCTCTATTCTAAGTAGTTAAGATAGTGGTTTCTTTTAAATAATATGTAGGTGGTAGAGATTTGGCAGAGACACAGAGACAGCTTTTGGGCTGCTGTTAAAATCTGAAAGTCATTATATATGTATATTTGCTTTGTGATAATTCTTCAAACTGTGTCCTTATGAATTCTGTAATTTTGGGTGTCCATTACTAAAAGGAAAAATACAATAATTCTCATTGGGATCAAATGTGTTTTATTTGACTACTGGACTTAGGTAGAAAAAGAGTGTGTTAAATTCATTTTTTATCCACATGTTTATTTTTAAAAATTAACTGCTCCAGGCATAGTGGCTCACGCCTACAATCCCAGCACTTTGGGACGCCAACACAGGAGGATCACCTGAAGTTTGAGACCAGCCCGGGCAAGCCATGACAGATTTCATCTCTACAAAAATTAAAATAATTAGTTTAGCATGGGTGGCACATACGTGTAGTCCCAGCTACTTGGGAAACTGAGGCAGGAGGATCAACCCAGGAGGTTAATGCTGCAAGGAACCATGATCATGCTACTGCATTTCAGCCGGGGTGATATTGTGAGATCTTGTATGAAAAATAATAATCATCATCATAACCATCATAAAAGATATGGTAGTTGAAAGTTTTGAAGACTGTTTCTAATGCTGGAAGTCATATATCCATTTTAGAAACATGAATACCAGAAATAAATAAAATGAATTATACCATGTCTTTTTTCTTTTTCAAAATGTGAATTATTTGAAGGGTAAAAGTCATTAATAATTCATTTTAATAATCCAGCTGCTGGTTGGAAGTTAATTTATTTTATTGATACATAATATTTGTACATATTTCTGGAGTACATGTGATATTTTCTCACATGTATAGAATGGGTAATGATCAGTCATGTTATTTAGGGTATCCATTACCTGGAGTATTTATCATTTCTATGTTTTGGGAACACTTCAAGTCCTCTTTTCCAGCTATTTTGAAATACATAATACATTGTTGTTAACTATACTCACCCTACTCTATTATCAAAAATAAGAACTTATTTCTTCTCTCTATCTGTATGTTTGTACCTATTAATTAACCTCTCTTCATCCTCCCACCCCCACCTACACAGCATTTTGAGCCTCTGGTATCCATCGTTCTACATGAGATCAACTTTTTTAGCTCATACATCTAAGTACATGTGATGTTTGTCTTTCTGTGCCTGGCTTATTTTACTTAATGACCTCCAGTTCCATTCATGTTGCTGTAAATGACATGATTTCATTCTTTTTTATGGTCAAGTTGTATTCCATTGTGTATACATACAACATTTTCTGTATTCATTCATCTGTTGATGGACACAAGTTGATTCCATATATTTGCTGTTGTGAATAGTGCTACAGTAAACATGAGGGTGCAGGTATCCTTTTGATATACTGAATTCTTTTCCTTTGGATAAATATCTAGCAGTGGGATTACTGGTATGTATGTTAGTTCTATTTTTAGTTTTGGGAGAAATCATCGTCATGTTTTTCATGATGTCTATACAATTTACATTGCCACCAATGGTGTAGAAGCTCCACATCCTCATCAGCATATGTTATTTTTTATCCTTTTAACAATAGCCATGCTAACTGGGGGTGATGATATCTTATTGTGGTTTTGATTCACATTTGCCTGATGATTAGTGATGCTGAAGATATTTTTATATATCTGTTGGCCATTTGCATGCCTTTTTCCAAGAAATGTCTATTCATGTCCTTTGCCCATTTTCTTTCTTTCTTTCTCTTTTTTTTTTTTTTTTTTTTTGTTTTTTTGTTTTTTTGAGATGGAGTCTTGCTCTGTTGCTCAGGCTGGAGTGCAGTGGCATGATCTCAGCTCACTGCAACCTCCACTCCCAGTTCAAGCAATTCTCCTGCTTCAGCCTCCCAAGTAGCTGGGATAACAGACACATGCCAAATTGCCTGGCTAGTTTTTGTATTTTTAGTAGAGACAAGGTTTCACCATGTTGGCCAGGCTGGTCTCGAACTCCTGACCTCAAGTGATCTGCCTGCCTCAGCCTCCCAAATTGCTGGGATTTCAGATGTGAGCCACCTCACCCAGCCCCTTTGTGGTCAGGATGATTTGTTTTCTTTTTCTTTCTTTCTTTCTTCTTTTTTTAAATTATACTTTAAGTTCTGTGGTACATGTGCAGAATGTGCAGTTTTGTTACATAGTTATACACATGCCATAGTGGTTTGCTGCACCCGTCAACTCATCACCTACTATCCCTCCCCTAGCCCCCCACCCCCAAACAGGCCCCAGTGTGTGATGTGCCCTTCGTGTCCATGTGTTCTCATTGTTCAACTCCCACTTATGAGTGAGAACATGTGGTATTTGTTTTCTGTTCTTGTGTTAGTTTGCTGAGAATGATGGTTTCCAGCTTCATCCGTGTCCCTGCAAAGGGCATGAACTCGTCCTTTTTTATGGCTGCATAGTATTCCATGGTGTATGTGTCACACATTTTCTTTTTCCAGTCTATCATTGATGGACATTTGGGTTGGTTCCAATTCTTTGCTATTATGAATAGTGCCACAATAAACATACGTGTGCATGTGTCTTTATAGTAGAATTATATATAAACCTTTATGTATATACCCAGTATGCTGGATCAAATGGTATTTCTAGTTCTAGGTCCTTGAAGAATTGCCACACTGTCTTCCACAATGGTTGAACTAATTTACACTCCTACCAACAGTGTAAAAGCATTCCTATTTCTCCACATCCTCTTCAGCACCTGTTGTTTCCTGACTTTTTGATGACTGCATTCTAACTGGCGTGAGATGGTATCTCATTGTGGTTTTGATTTGCATTTCTCTGATGACCAGTGATGATGAGCTGTTCAGTCATTGCAGTTTCTTGTATATTCTGGATATTAGTCCCTTGTCAGATGAATAATTTGTAGATATTTTCTCCCAATCAACAAGTTGTCTCTTTATTGTTTTCTTTGCTGTGCAGAAGATTTTTAGTTTACTGTAGTTTTATTTAGTCTATTTTTGTTTTGTTTTTGTTGCCTGTTTTTGAGGTCATAGCCATAAAGTCTTGCCTAGACCAATATCCTGAGATGTTTCCCCTGTATTTTCTTCAAGTAGTATTATAGTTTTGGGCCTTATGTTTAACTCTTTAATCATCTTGAGTTGATTCTTGTAATGGTGAGAGAGACAGGAGTACATTTTCATTCTTCTGCCTATGGAGATCTAATTTTCCCAGAATCATTTATTGAATAGGGTGTCCTTTCTTCAGTGTATATCCTTGGTGTTGTTTTAAAAGATCAGTTTGCTGTAAGTGAATGGATTTATTTCTGGACTCCCTATTCTGTTCCATTGGTCTATGTGTCTGTTTTTATACCAATATCATGCTGTTTTGGTTATGATAACCTTAAAATATTTTTATAGTCAGGCAGTGTGATGCGTCTGATTGATACTTTAATATTTTCCACGTTCACAAGCATTCATTCCACATTTGTTGAATTACACTCATAATGCCAAGTGGCTTTCTGCATTGTGGCTTAAGACATTCTTTTAAGTTTGCTCCCCTTTAGGTTATTACCTTTGAATCTGGGAACAGAGATAATTTCTCCATTTCCTCTTTGTCAGCCCTCAGTCATTTTTTTAATTCATGAGAGCATCATGTTTTTTTTTTCTGTTCCAGTGCTTTTTGAAATAATATCTTGCTTTATATGCAAACTTGCTAGAATTTAAGTGTCCAGCCTCTGTGCCACTTAGACTTTAGCAATATTTAGCTAAAACTGCCATCCTGGGCACCTCCTTCTCAAGTGTGAAACCAAATATCAATGTATGCTAATAAAATATATGAATATTGATAATCATTATTACTCCTGAAATAATTACCCTTTAGACATATGATATGTCCTACAATAATGAAAGTGGTAACTATTCACCAAACAGCTTGCTGAAAATATTAGCAAACCTTCCCAGCTACAAGTTGGAATCAATAGATATAAGGTATTCATGTTGCATGAGTCCTCAAACCTCTTCTGAGAAGTGACATGATTGGGCAACATATAGCTGACTATACAACAAGTTCTAGGACAAAATATCCTCCTGAGTTCTCTCTGTATAAAATACATGTAGGGGTAGCCTTGTAAGCCAATATCAACATTCTGTGTTTGAGCATCAAATACGCTGGGTTTAGAAATGTCAGATGCCCAGAAGAATGCTGAAAAACACCAGTTGCCCAACTCCTGGTGATCTTGCAGGAGCTCAGCTCATGTGCTTTCTCTCCCACATGTGGGAGGAAGAGGGATTGGTGACTCTCAGTTCATTTCTACGCAACCAGAGGAGAACTTTTATTCATCAAATAATGGTGATCACCCCTCAACAGCAACTAACAATTGGTAAGCAATGACTATGTTCCAGGCCTCTTCTAGGTGCCTTATATATGCACCTGGAGCAGGTAACAATATAATCTGAAGGCAAATAAAGTGTTTGGTGATACCACAAAATTCAGAGCCTATATTAGCATGCCTAGATTAGCCACAATTTTGGTCTAATCCTCACTCTCGCTACAATCCTCACTCTTACTACAATCCTCACCCTCGTCACAAATATACAAGCTGGCTCAAGCTGACTCATACTAAAGGATGGGGAAGAAATATCTGTCTCACTCTTTCCTATCATGCTATGCTAAAGCCAGTTGAGAATTTTCATGCCAGTCATTCCAGGCTGAGGAACCAGTTTTTCCCAGCAACTAATTGCTTATCCAGTGGCAACTGTGTCTAGTAGCTAGCAATGCAGTGTTGAGGGAGGGCATAATTATATTCAAACCCTCTTGCTTAGGCTTCAGAAGGTTGTTCAAAAAAAATTTATATCACTTTCAGTATAATGCTCAATTGAAGGTCCTTAACCAAAGGAGTCCAAGACCCTTTGCCAGATTATGTTACATTACCCACTCCCAACTCTATTACCTCCACCACTCTACACTCTCAGACTCTGCAGTGAAGAAGGAATTTCTGTGGAAACTTGCTATCTCCCTTGGGAAAACATTCTTTCTAGTTAGGAGGGGGCTGTGGATGAAAACGTGACTAGACAAACTCTCTTCCCCTAATGCTGCCACTTGCGTGAGTACAGATTCCTCCCCTGATCATAATTATTTTTAAGGAAGAAACACATTCTCAGCTTTATTTAGTTAAAATGGATATATTCCTAACTTCATAGTCCTCCCTTATAAGGTAATAACTTTAAACTCACTCACACAGTCACGTTCTAGGATTCAATTATACTGCAACAGGTTTTACCATCTACCTCTTAATGACACCTGAAAATTTTTCTCCTTTTCCTTCATTATTAATGTGGTCCTAGAAACCAAATCACAGTGAGTCAGGGAAAATTGTTTTGGAAAGGCTTTATTTTTACTTTCCAATCATGGGTCTTGATGCATATCACACATGCTTATCCCAATAAAATTTGCTATCTTTGAAGCTGGATACAGAAGGGATATGTTTTCTCAACCAATTTTCTAACAGAAATACCCTGGTATCCTTAAGCAAAATGATATATGCCATGTTCAAAGCTAAGTATTAAATGTAAGTTATTAAGAAGAAAGCCTTTATTGACTTCCAGTGGAAAAAAATAGGAGGTCCTTTGTCTTAGTCCATTTGTGCTACTCTAACAGAATCTTTAAGACTGGATAATTTATAGAGTAGAATTTTATCTTTTCACAGTTCAGGAGGCTGGAAGGTCCAAGATCAAGGTGCCAGTATCTTGCAAGGGCCCTCTTGCAGCATCATCACAGGTCAGACAGTAGAAGGACAAACGGGGCAAAAGAAAGTTTTGGGCAGAGCTCTCATGTCCTAGTCACCTCTCAAGGGGCTCATCTCTTAATACTGTTACAATGGCAATTACTTTTCAACTTGAGTTTTAGAGGAGACTTATTTACATCACTAAGACAAGACACTCTTATGTTCCCTCCCATTATCTGAAAATTTCTATTATCTACAGAAGTCAGCCTTGGGAAGCCTTGACAAATTATTTAGGAGCTCATATATATGGAAGCAGTTAGACACAACTTAAAGTTCTACCTTACTAGGCACTCCACCTGTACTAATCTCTCAAAAAATTTCTAGTCGTTACTCTCTTTCATTGATTGTTTTAATTAATATAGTATATCAAGATGATTTTTTCATGTAGTTTTATTGTTGTTTTTAACTTTTTTTTCTCAACTGGCATTGACATATTCTTCTCACAGCTCAAACCTACAAAAATTATCTGCAATACTGAAACTCAAAGTATAAACTCAGAGGAGGATTGATGTTTCTGTGCTAATTTCTAAAAATTTCTGATATTGGCTTTTATTTTAGATTTTATTTTTTAGATTTGCTTCTTTGGGGAGAAAGAATAGCAACTTTTTCTCTTAATCCTGGTTTAGAAAGTAAGGGCTTTAATAACCAACAGACTTCTCATTATTTATATGAGAGGAAAATAAGTCTGTAAATCTCTGGTTGCTCATTTCAAATAGTTAGAAGAGGTAAAATCAGAGCAAGGGGCTACAAAACTTTGTGAACTTAACTGGATTGTTGGAGTACAAATTACTGGGTTTAGGCAGTTGGGATAACAACACAGTAGGATACAGTTATTATGAATACTTGATAATACATAGGCTTAAATATTTACTTAAACATTTATTAGGTATGTCTTCTACATACTAGACACTTAACTGTAAGTTTGTATATATTTACTTCATGTGTAGGTCACTTTGTAATGAAATTAAATTAACTTAAATCTCAGAAATGCCATAAGACATATTTTAAAATGATATCTACATATTAGTGATGCTTCAATAACTGGAGATCACCTGATTCCAAGTCAATTAATGCATCTCTCATCATTGTTAATCAATCAAAAGTATGTACCAAGGGTACTGTCACCATCAATTGACTGAATTGTTCCAAATTAATGCATGAAAAATAATAAATTCTCAAAGGCCAATCTATTTATTTTTATATGCCATATGTTGGGATGACCCCTCCTCTCCTCACCTCAAAAAAAAAAAAAAAAAGCAGTTGTCTTAGTTCATTTTATGTTGCTATGATAAAATACTGGAGACATTTACAAACAATGAAACTTTATTTAGTTCATGGTTTTGGTGGCTGAGAAGTCCAAGAGTAAGACATTGGCATGTGATAAGAGCCTTCTTGCTGCATTATAACATGACAGAAGACATTATCTGGCAAGACAGAACAAGAGTGTATGTGCTCAGGTCTTTCTTCCTCTTCCTACAAGCCACCAGTACCATCATGGGGCCCCACCCTGATGACTTTATCTAATCTTAATTACCTCTCAAAGGTCCCACCTCTACATACCATCAATATATGAATTTGGGGAATAAATTTTCAACACACAAAATTTGGGGGACAAATTTCAAACTATAGTAGTGGTTCTGTGTGGTTTTAAAATCTTGGATTATTTTCTTGATCAGTTCTTACACTTTTACTTCACGCTATTTTTTACAGAGATTTTATGTTTATTGCAGCATTACATCATCACATGCATACATCACAACTATCATAGCCTGTATTCCCTGAGCACAGAGTATAAAATAAGGGCTGTGGGCTGGGTGTGGTGTCCCACACCTGTAATCCCAGAACTCTGGGAGTCCGAGGCAGGTGGATCGCTTGAGTTCGAGACCAGCCTGGCCAACATGGAAAAACTCCATCGCTACTAAAAATACAAAAAAAAAAAAAAAATAGCTGGGCGTGGTGGTTAGTATCTGTAATCCCACCTACTCAAGAGGCTGAGGCACAGCAATCACTTGAACCCAGGAGGCGGAGGTTGCAGTGAGCCGGGGTTACACCATTGCACTCCAGCCTGAGCAACAGAGCAAGAATTCGTCTCAAAAAAAAAAAAAAAAAAAAAAAAAAAGCTGTTTATAGAGATACAGGTTAATTGGGTTAATTGAAAAGTGGTCCCAGAGAGCAAGAGTGAAGAACTAAAAGCTGGAAAGATGAAGGCAAGAAAGGCAGGTAAGCCAATTCACAGAGGTTTGCTTGAACTAGCTGTATCTGTGACTAAAGTGTTTGATCTAATTAGTCCCCCTTCTTGGGAGCCTATAGAATATGTTACAGATTAATCTATCATTTCCTGCCCCCCATTGTTTGGGTTGTTGAGGACGCATTAGTTCCCTGCATTTTGAGTTTGCACATACATGAATGCATGTGTTCATTGTCAGAATGAGACAGCTCTGAAAGAAAAAGAGGCTCCATAAATATTTGAGGCCAGCTGCTTAGTACTAAAAAAGGCTGAAGCCCACTGAGAACATTACAGCTATGACTGGGCTTAGTGGACAGACCAAGAGACTGTTAAGCTGTGCCCAAGAGGTATCCAAAACAAAAACGTAGCCAGGGACATTTGATAAGTGTTTGATGTTTACACAATCACAGAGCAAATATTACTGTCACTTATATTACAAACTGTCTTTAGCTCATCCCAAATACTATCCTGCTTCATTTTTTATGTGTTCTCTATTCTCCCTTCTTGTCTGGAATATATTATTTCTAACATAATGAAGAAGGAAATGCACAGGTCCTCTTTCTCATTGCCCCACTCCTGTATTTAATGCTACACCATTGTTGCATTGACAGTGAACAGCAACAGAGACAAAATTTTGAAGTATCTGCCTAAATTTTCCCTCAGAAATATGTATTCGTTTTGGCTAAATTATTCAGTCTTTAATGAACAACTACTCCAGACATATATAGCCAATGTGGAGAAAGGAATTGGCAGAATGTGATAAAATCAGACAATATCAACTAAATACAGATTTGATGCCTGAATGGACCAATAATTACTAATTCCGTACTTCCTCTTGGATTATGTGATCTTTAATGATATGGTTTGGGGGTGTCCCCACCGAAATCTCATCTTGAATTGTAGCTCCCATAATTCCTACGTGTTGTGGGAGAGACTCAGTGGGAGGTAATTGAATCATGGGGGGCGGGTCTTTCCCGTGCTGTTCTCGTGATAGTGAAAAAGTCTCACGAGATCCGATGGTTTTATAACAGGGAGTTCCCCTATGTAAGCTCTCTTGCCTGCTGCCACGTAAGAGGTGACTTTGCTGCTCCTCCGCCTTCCACCATGATTGTGAGGCCTCCCCAGCCATGTGGAACTGTAAGTCCATTAAACCTCTTATTCTTTATAAATTACCCAGTTTCGGGTATGTTTTTATCAGCAGCGTGAAAATGGGCTAATACATTTAGCTAAGAATTATCCTAAGGATTTATACATGTAGGTGTTTTTAAAGATATACTATATATTTACATATATAATACATGTAAATTGTTTTATTGCACTTAATTTAAAACATGCATAGTATATGCATAAGTGGTATAAATGATACTAAATTACTAAGTGTGAGAGAAATTCCCGGCCAACCCAAGTAGTTACTGAATTCAGTGCCTAATGTTTGCAGAGATTCTGATTTATCCAGGGAACATTTACATGCAGACTATAACAAGTAAGCAAAGCTTTGTCACTCTTCTGATTAAAGGAATTGATTTGACTTTAGGAAGAGTGACTTTAATTAGCTGTGCAAATGCCATTAATTCCAATTAATCTTCTCACACTGTCAAGACAAAAATCCTGGGAGAAGATAAATTGCAGCAAATCAATATAGCCCTTGTTTTTACCAGGAACAGGTGCTCGAGGAAAGAGGAATGTCATTAATGGGTGTCTATATCAAGAAGTATTTATACAAGACAGTAATTCAATGTGAAAAGCCTTTAGATGATTTCTTATATCCGATTTATATATCCATTAATTGTCTTAAATCAAATAGGAAGGGTTTACCAAAGAGATTTTGAAAAATTATTATTATAATTCTATGGAGAACTATGCTACAAATTCAAATCATCTTTACAGTAGAAAATATAAAGACTAAAAACTATGTTCAAATGCATTGTACTCTCTGTGTTATTTAGTTCAAATACAAAGAAAAGCATTCTGGTCAACATGGTAGCAATGATTAATAGTTACTATATTGAACCAAAACACCACAGTAAAATACCAATGAGTATAAAGATAAAGTAAAAGATTTCCATATACTAAAGTGAAAGAGATTGTTCATGTCAATAAGGGGTACTGAAAAAAACATATATTAGTCCAATTATATATATAAACATATGTAGTCCAATTATATATATAAATGACTATATATATGTTTATACATATAGTTGGACTACATATGTTTATATATAGATGACTGCATGTATTTTTGTATATATAAACGACTACGTATATATTTTTTAGTATCTTTTTATATATGGAAAAAATATATATGTAATCCAACTATATATATATGTAATATTTTCCAAGTTATGATTTCCATTCTTACAAATCACCCTCTCGTTAATTTCTCTAGTCAATTTGTCTTTTCTCTTTTCAAAAAAATATGTTAACCTGATTCTCACTCTGAGAGCATTTAAATTTGCTGATCTTCCATCCAGATCTTTGCATGTTCTGTCCAGCAAGTTCTCTCTCCATGAAGACCATACCACCTAAAGTGACCCCATCTCAGTCTGTCTGTTGGTGAGTTTGTATTTACTATTTAGCACTTACCATATTTGAGGTTGTTTATTTTTTTCTTAACTTGTTACCTCTGTGCTTCTCCCAAGCTCCATGAGTGGAGACATAGGCTCATAAGCTATGTTCTCTACCTAGTATAGTGCCTGGACCTTAGTGGGCACTTCATCAATAAATGAATAATAAATAAACAATTCACTAAGCCATGAAAAACAAACATCTTTTAAAAAACAGTAAATTATGTTGATTTATTTATAATTAACATTTATTATGTGAGTTGCGTGTCCCTGAGGCCACCTTCATGCTCTAGGATTTGCTAGAACTCACAGGACTCGGGATAGCTATTATACTCATAGTAACTGTTTTTTATTACAATGGCAGAACAAAAATTAAAATCGTCAAAGGGAAAATGTACATGGGGTGAAGTCCAGGAGAAAGGAGGAGCAAACTTCAGGTGTTCTTCCAGTGGAGACACATAGGGACATACAATTCTCCCAGAAGGGATGCGTGACAACCATGGCCAAAATGATGCCAGTTGAGGGAAGCTCACCTAAGCCTTGAGGTCTACATGCACGTAAGACTCATGTGAACTGACCTCAGCTACTCAGATCCCAGCACCCAGAACAAAAATATGTGTTCACCATAAATCATATTATTAGGATAAACATATCTAGTCACACTTTTCAGGCATACAAAAACATCCTTAGCAGGGAGTATTTATTTTCTAAGGGCTCAGAGGTTATCTCCCAGAAGCCAGTCCTAAAGACAGGGCTTTTTTTTTTTTTGGAATGCACAGTGTTTCAGCAACCTAGGCCTGCTAAGTTAACCCTTTCCTCCATGGCTTGTGTGGCATGTCTCCACCTCACTGGCTCAGAATTCTTTCTGATTATCTAAAATATCCTGTCGTAGAGTCCCTAATATCCTCATTTGTTGAAGTTTAATGAAAGTATCATCAGACACATCAGACTCTGAGCCCCAAGGAAATAGGGTCCCAGGGGACTGGGCCTTCTGTTTTCTTCCTAAGTCAGCTTCCCAGTCTACCCCAAATCTATTTTGTTTATGTTCATCTCTATCTGCCCCTGACATTTTATGCTTTGCTTGTTACTCCTGATTGAAATTGAAGTATCTCACCTGGGCTTGGGATTCAATAATTTCCTACCAACTTAGGGACCTTCTCCATCATCAAACCTATTTACTACTTTTTTTTTTTTTTTTTTTTTTGGCTCTCCCCATCTCTGGTTCCTGCTTGTAATCACATAAATGTCCCAGAGCAATGTCACTAGTAAAACTAACAAAAAAGAAAAATAATAAGAACCATAATAAAAACTTTCTTGAGAAGTTGCGTCACTCACACAATTTTTCAGCCTTGTGTCTTACCTTTGCATGGTTTCCCCAGATGGAGCATATTTGCTGATCAGCTTCCTCACCTCCCACTATTCCTCTGCTTCTAGAACTCTGGTTTCCTCCTCCACCTTCCCACTAAAGTGAGTGTTACCAAATTTACCAGAATCTTCTAATACTCAAAAGTAAGAGTTAATTCTCTATCTTATCTTACATAATTTTCTTTAATATTTGACTTTATTAAACACTCCTTCTTTCAAGAAGCTCTTTACTCCTCCAATTTCTCTGAATCCATTATATTTTATTTCTCCCCTCTTTTTCTACTAGCACCACTACCCACACACTCTCTTTCTGCTCTAATCATTCTTCTCAACCTCCTTCTTCAGTTTCTTCATTTCTAAAACAGAGATAATAATACCTATTTCATGGACTTATTGTTACGAAATTCGGGGGGGTGGAGTTCAAAAACTCACCTAAGATATTATTGTCTCTCGAAAAATGTTTTGATTACTTGGAATCCCATGAGGTTGTAATTTATGGCCAAAACACCCTAAATTATATAATTTATTTAATTATCAATGTAATTTATCTTTTTCTTAGAATATTTTATCTTATATAATTTTTGAAATATCCATTATGGCCTTATTTTAAAATTAGAAAGAATGAGGCACAGCAAACACGAAATTGTTTCCAGGATCACAGATCAGTAACAAAAACAGATATATGGAATGTTGACTTTACTGGGAGCATTATCGACTTAACTGCACTAACTAATCTTTTGAGTGATTGATTGATTACAGTTTTGAGTTCTTCCAGGAAAAGTAATTTACATAAACCACAGAACAGCTGGTTAATGAATTTTACTTCTGAGAAGTTGTTGGGAACACATGGTGTGTTCTTCAGGGAAGCACAGAACTCTGTGGCTGCATTTTATAAACAATGATGAAAGTTTTTCAATTTATGAGGAGATATTTTTCTCAAAGTTTAAACTTTATATTAAGAAATTTATATTTAATAATTTAGACACGCACAGTGAGCAGCTGCTTCTTCATTCTTTAAGAATTTACACAATTAATTTCATTTATTTAGTATGTATTTAGTGCCTTGTAAGTTCTTAACATTAGAAGTACCATGCATTCCACTGTGAAAAATACAAAGGCAAATTAGTATAATTATTTCTTAAGTTATATTTTTAAGGGCATCCCAACATTTGTAACACTCAGCTTGTCTTTGATGGAAAAGCTCACATTGATCCCCCTCCCATCAGGGGAATCAAAACTGAAGACATCTGTTTCAAAGTTATCAGCATATAAACAATAGCTAAACCAGGAAGGCAGAAGTCACTGAAGATACAATGATAAGTGAAAGAATAATAAAAATAAGATTGGGTCACTGAACAACACTTTACTTTGTTAGACAGATTAAGACTAAATCTAAACTAAGTCAAAAGGGGTGGCCAGGAAGCCCTACCAAGGAGAATGACCAGCAATAAGTTTAATGCCACTAAAAACCCACAAAAATGGCTCAATGTTTTAAAATTGTGATGACTTCTTTCATTGTTACAACTAAAATCAGTCACCCATGTGATCAGTTATTGCAATGTTATTGTTGATACTCCTAGAGATTTTTTGTTTTCATATTTTTTATTTTCAAAAATTGTTGTAGGTGCACAGTATGTGTATGTATTTATGGGGTACCTGAGATGTTTTGATACAGGCACGCAATGTGAAATAAGCTCATCATGGCAAATGGGGTATCCATACCTTCAAGCATTTATCTTTTGAGTTACAAGCAATCCAATTACACTCCTCAAGTTATTTTAAAATGTACAATTAAGTTAGTATTGACTATAGTTACCCTATTGTGCTATCAAGTAATAGGTCTTACTCATTCATTCTTGTTTTTTATTTTTTTGGACCTGTTAAACATCCCCACCTCCCCCAGCCCTCCACTACCCTTTCCAGACTCTGATAACCATCCTTCTATTCTCTATGTCCATAAGATCAATTGTTTTGACTTTTAGAACCCACAAATAAGTGAGAACATGTGATGTTGGCCTTTCTGTGCCTGGCTTACTTCATTTCACATAATGATCTCCACCAGTTCCTTCCATGTTGTTACAAATGACTGCATCTCATTCTTTTTATGGCTGAATAGTACTCCATTGTGTATAGGTATCACATTTTCTTTATCCATTCATCAGTTGATGGACACTTAGGCTGCTTATGACAGGAAAGGAACCATGAAGAAATAAATCAAACAGCAGGGGATTGGATAGTGAACAGGAAATGAGGAAGTGGATACAGAGGCTTGAATGTAAAGAAAGGAAATTTTGCTGGAATACATGACCAGAAGTTTGTTACTATTATTGTCTTCATTATTAATTGATACATGAAAAAAAATCCATGCATTCCCTTGGACTGTTATTATTTATTTTCATTCATGCTTCCCAGTGAAATGGCAAGTAACAGGTAGACATTATAGTTGCCCCGTCTTGTTGTCTCACCTTGTCCCTAATATCAGAATCACATTGCTTTTATTCCTGAGTGCTATTTGTGTTGACCTGATACGTTCTTTAGCTTGGGGTAACTGTTTGGAAAGCTCTGTTTAGTTCCCATATTTGTGTCATAACTGTCATTCTGGATTCTTGTTGTTGAGTCAATGAAGAAGCTTTTGGGGAAGGCTTGGCAGCCATTTTATAGACAGGATCCTGGTGCACAGACTGGACGGTCCAGACAAGCTCTTAGAGAACCTATGCCAGAATATGTACTATCTAATTACAGTATTCCCTTACTATAATAATAATAAGAACATCACACAAGTATATAACACATACGGTATGGCAGGCATGCTTCTCTGGCACTCTATGATTCATTTCTTCATCACAACAACTCTGTGAGGTGGGTGCTATTATCTCCACTTTACAGAAGAGGAAATTGAAGTTAAATACTTGTTCCATAGTCATATGATAAATAATAACAATAAACCACAGAGTTCAGATTTGAACCCAAGCAACTGAATCCTGAGCCTAGTTTATGCTCTTAAATCCTATACTACATTGTTTCTAGAGAGGCTACAATGTGGCTGCTTTTAATTCCTGTGCCAGCAACACAATTTGCTTATGTAGGTCAGAAAACAAGAAATGTGCTGAAATTGAAGAGCTCCATTGGAATCGCCTACCTGGGTCAAGGTTGCTGATGTACTCTGAGTGGTTGGAGAGAAAACTGAAGATCTTATTAATATTTTGAACTGATGTCCCCAAGGTTTGTTGTAATATAATTCTCAAAACTTAAATGCCATCAGACTATACTGAGCAATAAGTACTAGCATGAATCAGAAAACTTCCAACCAAACTCTGTAGCCTTAGACAAATGATCTATTTTCTATGAGCCTCAGCCTTCTCATCTGTAAAATGGGAATAATAATTATCTACTAACCATTTAGAATTGGGGTTTATCATTTAATAAATTTTTATATGAAAGTACCTTGAATATTACATGAATTGGCTTTTATTTTTAATCCTTCAATGAATTTTTTTTTTACCTATAATCCTTTCATGTTCCATCTCAATACTCACTCCCTCATGTCATCATGGACTCTAAAAATTCTAAGATAATTAAGGTTAAGACAAAGACCACAAAGTGACAGAATATTTTGAGATTTTTACTGGCTACATGAAGACCTCCTTGCCCTGGAATTCAGACAGCATTCCAGTGCAAACCTGATTCAGAAGAGGATGGTTTATAAAATAGAACTAGTTTTACATTTAGATAGCAAAGCAAGTCCCTTTTCACTAATATCATACCCCTTTCAACACAACACCATACCCATCTCAAAGAGGACAGCCTTGGAGAAAATATCAAGAGAACTGGAAACCTTAACTCTTTTATGTTGTATTGGATAGCTTTTGGCATTGTCAGCATTTACTTATATGCATAAAGAGTTTGTGCTTTAAAAGACAGATATGCATGAGAAATAAATTTGAGATAGAGCTAAAAGCATACCTTTCTATCAGTTTCCAAGCACAGCACTTTTAGGCATAGATGTGAGAGTTGGAGGGCTGTATATGAACACATTTCTAGAGATAGACTTAACACATGTCCAAAATTTATTTAGTGGGAAAGGAAAAGAAAATAGAACCTACATATGGCTAGTCATAAAAAAACCAATCTGATTTAGGAGATACCCTATGAGTGAAAAATTGGAGCAAATTTGAAAGGTTTTTGCACTTTCCAAGTCCACAGCTAACACAATTTTAATATTAGGCATCCATATCCTTAATGCTATCATAATAATTCACAGCAAATGAAATTTTGATTCAGTTAAATAAAAAGCAATCAAATAAATAAGCACACTTAACCCAAATCATAATTTCCCATTATCTTAAAGATGATGTTTCAGGAACATTAAGTAATAAATTATTTTAAAATAAATATTATGACTTTTTTAGATAATTTATAAATTATTTTTGTAAACAAGAAATTCCTTTAAAGTATATTTCTAAAGAGTAAAACTTAAAAAGTCAAAGATGTGGCCGGGTGCAGTGGCTCATGCCTGTAATCCCAGAACTTTGGGAGGCTGAGGTGGGTGGATCACCTAAGGTCAGGAGTTCGAGATCAGCCTGGTCAGCATGGTGAAACCCTGTCTCTACTAAAAATACAAAAAATAGCCAGGCGTGGTGGTGCATGCCTGTAATCCCAGCTACTCGGGAGGTTGAGAAAGGAGAATCACTTGAGCCTGGGAGGCAGAGGTTGCAGTCAGCCAAGATTGTGCCATTGTACTCCAGCCTGGGCAACAAGAGCAAAACTCTGTCTCAAAAAAAAAAAAAAAAAAAAAAGTTGAAGATGCATGTATACTACAACCTAGCAATACCACATTTCCTATAGAAAAAAACTGCTCGAATATAAAATAGGCATAAAATCTAATTGGCACTGTTTTTATTAATACTAAAACAGGAACACATCCTTACTGTGTCCTTCACTCAGGAAATGTAATAAAACATTCTAAGGCTGCTCAGATGAATAAATTAGATGTATGAGTATCAAAATAATAAATCTTTTAAAAAAGTTAAAGTGTGATAATATTCACTTATTTTTCTACAAAGAAATGTAGCAACATTACAAAAAAAAAAAAGCTAAAGAATAATAACATGCCCTTTTCAGAGAGTGATTCATTTTGTAGGAGAAGTTATTACTGAAAGTATTGGTGAAGGTGAAGGCTGACACTTTATGTGAATTTATAACATGTTCTCTTTTGTATCAGAAAAAAGATCCCTCAGCCAATTTTTGGTCAAATAATATCTATTTAAATGATTGATGAGAACATGGGTACCTGTTATTTTTTTATTCTTTCTGTATTTTGAAATATTTTGCAAGTTAAATAACTATTGTGAAAATAATATAAAAGTGGCAACAGAAAGACAGCTATTATAGCTGCTCTATTAACAAGTTGTTCAACATCTGAAAGGTGACACTATTCTAGACAGTTGTGAGGCTGGAGGACAGGGTAGAATTCAAGTTGTTGGGAGGCTGTGCATAGTCACTAAGTTCCCTTCTGTTTCAAAAATATATGATTCTATGAAATAAATATGAGAAAATCCTTTTGCTGTAGTTTAAAAAAAAAGTCGCCTTGAACTAAAATGACCATATAATTCTAAAAGCATTGTGGCTTATTTTGGCTCTGCTGGCTTCAGGATTGTTTTATTCTCATATTGAGAAACGAAGCAAGCCACCACTAGTAAATGAGTGCAGTGGACCCTATCAGTACCCTGCCAAGATCTCCCGGGACCCCTTCCACTTTTTCTATGCATCCCTCCCTTGCCATGTATGTGCTTTTGCTTCTAATAACTAGCATCTGTGACTGCCTTCAAACAAATGCCCCAGGCTACTTGAGCCACCATTGCCTGCTCAGACAGTAGAAAGTGCTTGATGTTTGATTTTCCCCACCTCAGGGCAGTCAGAGCCAATGACTGATGGAAAGTGTGAGGTAATGCATATGTGAATTAGCTTGATTTAGCCACTCCACAATGTCTCCATATAGCAAAACATTATGTTGTATACGATAAATATATAATTTTTGTCATTTTAAAAAATAAACATTAAAAAATAGAAATCCCACCTCCTCACAGAAGAAACTCTGAGGTATAGTTTGCGCAACAGAGCTCCCCATGGCATCAGACTGGAGCCAGGATTTTACCTAAAATTGCACCCTTGTTTGACCTCTTCCTTTTCCTGGTTCTGCTTTTTGCACTCCCTTACTGTTTTCTCCTGGGAACACTTAATAAAGTATTTGCTTGCAAATCCTTGTCTTAGGGTCTGCCTGAGGAAGTCTGAGGCAAAACAAGCAATTAATGAATGTATTCATTCTTTTAACATGACACTTCGTGGATCAAATCATTTTTGTCAGTTTTGTCAGTCAAATATGATCATCTCTAAGTTCTCATGAATTCATATCTAGGTCCTATGTAAAAACAGGACTTTGAGTAAGAAATGAACAAATTTCAGGAAAATCTCAGAAAACACAGGAGGACACTTAAGGTCCCCTCTGTTAGAGTATAATATTAAGAGAAGAAGTAGGGTTTATTCTACCCCATGTTATCACGGGCCACTTGATAGGTTTAAATTCTGTGCCCTCTTTCCCAGCAGCTCCTAGAAAGAGATGGCAGAAGTCATAGTGCCAGATGGTCTGCTGTTGTGCCTGGCACGTGATGTCAGCAGGGCTTGGCAGCATGGTGGCACTCAATGAAAGGAACAGAAGCACTCAGCCATCATGTTGACACTTGGCCAACGCAGCAGTACACAAGTGGCTGTGGCACTGGTGCCCAGGAGAGCAGAGCTGCCTGGTGGGCAGACATGTCCTAGCATAGGTAACAAAGGCGATATCTGACAGATGCCATATGGTACCTGACTGAGCAGTTCTGAGAACACATGTGAGTGACTCTTTGGATAAGGATTTTGCAGAGGGCTAGAGGGTGGCCTGAAGAGTCACAGATTAGTGCCAGTGGAATGGGATACTATTACTATGGTCCATTCATACTCTCAGCATGGAGAAATAGTCTATTGGCTTGTCATCAGAAAGGACAAGGAAAACTGTTTGAAGCCTATGGCCTCAATTATTTTTTCTAAAATGCGTAAGGCAAGAAATGGCATTGCTTTTATGAAGCATTTACATTTCTAAGAATGAATGATGGGTGGGTGAACTGTACTTAGGCATCAAAGTTGGGAATATCTAATGTGAGAAAAAGGTAAGGGAGGTAATTAAAGGACAGATACAGAGATTGCCACACATCAAAGGCCAGGTTGTGATAAAAAGTCATAAATGTGTAAATATATCCAGTGAGCATAATGATAGATTTTCTTCATAAATGTTAAATGTAGTGTTAAAGATGATTAGATTTCTTGAGGTTTACAAATGAGTAGGCAGGTACTGCATAAAGATTCTTGATCACACACAGCTGTAATTCAACACACCCTAATTTTTGCACAATTAGTGTATTTTTATTTTAGACAACAGAACAAAGTGAATTAGTCATACTGCAACTTGAATAGGTGAATATGACTTTCTCTCACCTTAATGGAATTTCACCCCACAACTTTGAATTAATGTGCTAGGTAATAAGAAATCATGCTCTTGGCTATTTAAATTATAGAGCATTATCTCATAACTAAAAATAATCAGTTGTGGCATTTAAAAAATTATTTTATTCCAGTTACACTTCTGTACAGAAAATAATATTCATAAAAGCATCTGCTACATTTAATATATATTGCTTTGAAATGTATGTACAAATAGATGGTGAGTAAAACCAATTCTGGTCTAATATCTATGATTTATCATTCCTTTTATCAGCAATTACTACATTTCTCTATACTAAGTTTTAATGTGTTAATATCTTACTTTCATTTTAAAATTGTTTCCTATATTATACAGCAACTTCAGTAGTTACACGTATGCAAAATTGTTTAAAATACAAGGTTTCCTTAGCTTCTCTCCTAACAAGGGACTTTTAATATCCATTGGAATATACTTTCTGCAGATGTGTTTTTTGAAAATTATACAAATAGAAATAATTTGGTTACTTTATCAACCAAAAATCTTAGGTCTAGGGTGTCTTTTGAAAGCACTGTGTTAAAACTGCAAATCCTGAGAATATATTCACTAGATTTTCAATAATACTCTGGCAATAAAATTTTATAATGCTGTTTACCATTCGATTATTCTTAGTGTCGGATGGGAGAGGAATTATTACTTTAATTATTAATTATTAGAAGCCTGTGCTATTTGGAGGACAGAAATGTGGGATATTTTTATACTATACAACATTTCCTATATCTTCTGACTCTGTATCCAGGCCTGATGACAGAGGGCTCACCAAGAATTGCAAGTTTCCAAGTGTCTCAACTTCCCATTTCCACATGTCCTCAAAACTCTGCCTCTGCAACAAAGGGTTAGACAAAATAGTTTGCATTCTAGTAGACTGAATCTTTCTTTGCTATTTACAAGGATGGGGCAAATTTCACTTTACTAAGTACAGAAGTGAACTTCGGGAAGTGTCACGTTGAGAGAAAAATGTATCCTTTTGGCTAAGTGAATGAGATTTACTCTCAGAGACAGATAAGATATGAATTTTTATTTTTCCACTTAGTTAAAAACTTGAGCATTGCACAAATCAATAATTCCGTCACTAAATGCATCAACCCATAATGTAACCCATAACTGTAAGTCCCTGGTAACATGAAATAATCATATTACATAATCATATGTGTCCTAAGGCGTCACTATGTGTAGTGCAAAGCAGGCATATTGTAATGGCTAATTTTATGTGTCAACTTGGCTGGGCATGGTGCCCAGTGATGTGGTCAAACATTCTAGACAGTTCTGTGAGGGTGTTTTTGAATGAGATTAACATTGAAATCAGTGGGATTTGAGTAAAGTGGATTGCTTTCCACAATGTAGGTAGACCTCCTGCAATCAACTGAAGGCCTGAATAAAACAAAAGACTGGCCTCCTCCCAAGCAAGAGGTAATATTGCAGCAGATGACCTTTGGGTTTGAGCGTGTATATATATACACATACATACAATGCTCTTGTTTCTCTGGAGAATAGTAATACACTTTTATTTTTTCATTTAGATATTATAGGTTTAAATTCCTCCTCCACTGTGTAAGTATTGCACAATGTGGAAGATTATCTAATGTCCCTTAGTCTCAGTTTCATTATCTATAAAGATAATTTTTAAAAACACTAGTTATATACAATTCTCAGCACCAGTAATGACCATGCAGCTGAAACGAAAAGGTGAAAATTTCTCTTTCTGTACTCTATATTGTATTTATGTTTCTGGTTCTTACATATGAGATTATAAATTATTTGAAGGAAATGAGCACATGTTATACTTCTTTTTATCACTAAGCATTTAAGACATAACTTCTAGTGGACTGAAAATAGTTAGAGAATAAAACTGTTTATATATTAATGGAAAATGAGATTATGTGATTTGAAATCGGGCCTGATATTTAATTATTTATTTTTTCCAAACTCTATAAATCATTCTTATTATTTGATGAAATTCCTACAGAGCATTGCAGTTGTGCTCACAAATATGTCACATGGACAAATTCAGAATAAAGAGGCAGGGAAATGGACTATGCCTCAAAGGGAACTGCAAAGGTATATAGTCAACGGGCATAGATACAGGGAGAAGTAAAGAATTGGGGCAATTGGAAATCAATCTGCCTCAACAATAACTGTATATTAGAAAGATATTTGATAGCCAAAGATAAATCTCATACAATTAAAAAGTGGTAGGGCAGTGGGAAGATAGAAGGAAGCATAGTAAAATATATAGCCTGCATGAAATAGAGGAATTACACATATTTTATGAATATATAATTATAAAGGTAAGCACTAAACTATATCATTGTTCATAAACTTCTTAAATATTAGAATAACTTCCTTTAAATATGAAAAGTAAAACCTCAGGAGCTTGAAGCTGCAGTGAGCACAGAGAGAAATCCAAAGCAAAAATTTTAAATGGAAAAAAATAACATAATAGAAGACCAAACTTATTTTCATATCAATAAATTTAAATGGTATAAATGCAGTTATTAAAATAACTTCAAATGGGTTAACAAAGCAAAACTCTATTCATGAAATGGATGAGACACATCTAAAAGAGAGTGATTAAAAAATAAGAAAAGAAAATGATTCAACTTGAATAAGCAACTTTTAACAAACTATTAATAATAGCATTATTATAAATGCTAAGAATGGCATGTCAAATTTAAATGAATATATAATTCTGTAGAAGTGTTTTTAAAATGACTATAAAATAATTTTTTAAATATTATAAGGCAATATTGCAATAATTCATTCATTTTTTAAAAAGTTCAACAAAGTAAAGTGATTCTTTTATACTACAAAGTAAGTCAAGATTGTCCAATCTAGTGTAACAATTTGATGTCATTTTTAAATTACTTCACTTAAAATAATATTTGATAAATGGGGTTCTATTTATGTGAAAGTAGCAACAAACTACAGAAGTACTAATAACCAGAGCTGCAATAAAGCAAATTTTTGTTTTCAAATAAATGTTTCATTTGATTGGGAATATCAGCATTAAGATTATTTTGAAGTTTTAGTCATAAAATAAATATTTGTACATGAGTACATATACTAGGAATAATCTTAAGAGTTTATAAAAAGTATTTGCTGAATATTAAAGTAGGATTTGGAAGAAAAACTTTTAACTTGTAGAATGGATCACATTAAATATAATCTCAAAGTACATGAGAGCAAAAAGGTGAAACAATCAATTATTTTACTATCTTAAACATTGACTTTTAACACTTCAAATTACTATAGATAAATTAATCCAAGATATATTTAATAATGGTATCTATACATATTATTTAAAAATTATTAATGAAAAGCACTAATTGTTAAATTATATAAAAATGAATCTTTGCATTTCAATACCTTATTTAAGACCAGAATTTGAACATTATGCTAAACTACTTAATACATTAAAGTGACAGGCACTGGAAAGGCCATTACTCAAACATCCTGAATTAATCTGCTTGAACTGCCAAAGCAAAATACCATCCACTGTTGAAGTTTATTTTCTCACAGTTCTGGAGGTTGGAAGTCTGAGTTTAGGGTGCCAGCACAGTGGTATCCTAGTGAGGGCTCTCTTTGTGGCTTGCATATGGCCACCTTCTCCCTGTATTCTCATGTGGCTGAGAGAGAGAGAAAGAGAGACAGCAATCTCTATGGTATCTCTTTCTATAAGGGTACTTGCCATCACGTGGGCCCACTCTCATAACCTTATCTAAAGCTAATTACCTCCCAAAGGGCCCATCACATTGGAGGGTTAGGGCTTCAACATGTGAATTTTTTCTTGTATTTAAGGAAAACAAAAAGCTTATAAAGTATGAGACAAGAAAAGTAGAGCAGTCTGAGCTATGTGAGGTAAGCAAAATTTATCAGGTCCAGAGAGATTAGAGTATGAGAAAACTTCGGTCATGTAAACTTCCACCCTTCTGTTCTCCCACCCTGGCACCCATGCCCCAGGGCAATAGTTTAGAAGCATTTTGTTCTTTTCTTCTCTGTAGTTTCTTGACTAGCTTCCACACCCATTATCTTCAAGTTCCTGGAATGTGTGATACAGGAAACAATGTATAACCGATCAATAGGTTATGTTGTTTTAATATTAGTATAAATTACTGGTACACAACTTAGGAACTGCCTCTTTCTTTCTCCTTTAAATACTCAACTTGCATCCATGCTCCCAGTGTTACTCAGTCCTCAAATTTGGCCCAAATAAACTTTCTATTTTTATGAATTTTGCCTCAATTTCTTCTTTTAGCTTGACAAGTACTAGTCATAATACGTGGAACATAGCAAGCTTTATCAATGACATCTATTACTGCTGCTACTACTACTACTTGCAACAATACTATGTACTATACTCTCTTAAGCAATAGGCATCACTAAAAACAGAATTATAAAATGCACACAAAATTGTTTGGTTTGTGAAAATGATTCATTACAATGTTTTCTAAGTTCTGAACTCACCAAAAATGAACATAGAAACTTCATGACAACAAACATTTAAGTTTAATTGTTGGCAAATCACAGCTGGAATACACACCTTAGGCTTGTTACATAAATTGTCTATTTATTTTCTTTTCCCTCAACTGTCTCATGCAATAATCCCTGGTCACACACTAGGTAATGGCAGAGCTGGACTAACTTATCTCCTAATATCACAGAAGCAGCAGGAACAGAGAGAAAGATTGTTTATGAACTGTGGCAAGCCATACAAAGGAATAAGAAAGAAGACGAGGGGTATGGGGACAGGTTGACTTCTCCCCATTCAGAACTGTTTTTCCCATTCTTACCCAGTTATTTATCACAGATCACATCTTCTGTAAAGAAAAGAAAGTATGGATTGAAAAACTCAGAAGCTCTCTCCCTCACATTTCTTTTTTTTTTCTCTCTCTGCCTCCCGGGTTCACGCCATTTTCCTGCCTCAGCCTCCCGAGTAGCTGGGACTACAGGCACCTGCCACCACACCCAGCTAATTTTTTGTATTTGTAGTAGAGATGGTTTTTCACCGTGTTAGCCAGGATGGTTTCGATTTCCTGACCTCGTGATCCGCCCACCTCGGCCTCTCAACGTGCTGGGATTACAGGCGTGAGCCACCGCGCCCAGCCTCTCCCTCACATTTCTTAGATGACTGACTAAAACTCCTATTTAATGGACAGAGTAAGGAAAAGAGGGAAAGAGAGTCGCTTCCTACAAAGCATTATATTTAAAAAACAACAGTAGTCTTGGCACAGTGGCTCACATCTGTAATGTTTGGTGGAGCTGAAGTGAGATGATTGCCTTGAGACTAGGAGTTCAAGACCAGCTAGAGCAACATAGCCAGGCATTGTCTCTGCAAAAAATAAAACATGACCTAGGTATGGTGGTGTGCACCTGTCGCCCCAGCTACTTAGGAGGATGAGGCCGGAGAATCTGGACCTCTGAAGCCCAGAGGTTTGAGGCTGAAGCGGGCTGATTGCACCACTGCCTTCCAGCCTCAGGTGACAGAATGAGACTCTGTCTCTAGAACAACAACCAAAAAATTGATTTCAGAATCACTTACCAATCTTATTCATTCTGAACAAATTTTCTATGATTATTTGAGGTCAGAACTATAGGAAAATGGCTTAGCAGAGCTCCTCCCCTTGATGAATGAGAAAAGGAGAGATAAGGAGAAACAGAAGTTTTGTAGAGTAAAATGTACATTAGGAAAGTTTCTCAACTATAAAGCATGTACTATATATATGCACGTATGTGTGTGTGTGTGTGTATATATATATACACACAGAGAAGTATATATGTATATATATATATATACAAAAAGAAGTCAAGATAGAGGAATGATCTTGTTGATAAGAGGAAAATGAGAAACAAATCCATATATATATATGCCTCTATAAGTAAGCAAGCTGCTTGCTTACATGACTTTTCTGGATAGTTGGTTCCATAGCAATCATGAGTACAAATTGTGTGTAATATCACATTTATACTAGCAGATTCATGGTTTTCCTGCCATGATTTGTAAAGTCTTCTTGGGTCATCATTTATTAAACCCTAAGTAGAATCTGAAAAACTTGTACTGATACCAACAAGTTTCTTATGTGAAAGATATTTTGAAATTTTTTTTTCTGAGTAGAAGGCACCTCAGTTCTCAGTTTCCTCTACAGTCCTATATTTTGAGGGAAACTAGCAGTTCTAAAGGCGAGTTGTAGTGGACAATTGTTAGTTTTGACTTTCAAGAATCTGTTACCCATTTTTGGAAGCTCTACCCCAACTTCCTACTGAGACATCACCCACTCTTGGAACGGCTCTCAGTTCCTGGATTTTGTTTAGTTTCCTTCACCCCTATCTTGAGGGATGGAGCATATAACCCAGTCCTACATTAGTCTCTGCCTTGCATTCTCCTGCCTACATTGATCAGTTCATGGACAGTTGCAGCCCTGAATCTATTGCGAGAGCCTCAAGAAAGAGAAGTCAAGATAGAGGAATGATCTTGTTGATAAGAGGAAAATGAGAAACAAATCCAAACAATGCCTTTTTCTTATCTAATAGCTAAAGGCCTCAGGCTTTTCTAGAAGCTGTTCCCACTGCCTAGAACTTGGTTTCCCAGGCAGTCATATTACACGTTCTCTCACTTCCTTCAGGAGCTTCTGCAAATGTAAATAAGAGATGCTTTTCCTGACCACTTTATCTTATTTTCTTATTCCAAAGCTTTCTAAGGTACTGTTATGTAGCATACATATTTGTTACTGTATTATTTTCCTGTTTTACAGAGGAGGGTTTGTTTTGTTCACAGCTGTATACCAGTACCTATCACGAATTCTGAAATATAGTAGAAATTTAAGTGAGATTTATTGAATAATTTTTTTAAAAAATCAAACAAGGATTGTCTATTTAATTAATATTCTAAAATTAAACACACAAAAAGTTGCAAAAATGCACTATGAAATCAAATATATCTCTCACCTGGATTCACCAATTGGTAGTATATAGACACATCTGTTTACTACCGGCCTCTCTATGTGTATCAACTTTCCTTTTGCCAAATAATCCCAGAGTACACATTTTCTTTTCCAAATATTTAAGGCAATTTTACAACTAGCTAGTGAATAATGTCACGAAAAGTAACAACAGTAAAAGTACTCCTACAAAATATCAGGATCACATTGTGCAATCTCAAAAGATAAAACTAAAAATAAAATCACAGTTATTTTTTCCTCCTACCTATATGGATTTTTATGAACAAACCATAATAGGGAGTAAATCTGAATGAATATTCAGCTCTAAATTTATTAGATAATTAAGCCTGATGGGAAAGAATGATTTTGTGTAGTGGGTCATATTGCTGGGTTCTTTAATATTTATCTTCATTAATTTTGTCCTGTATTTGCATATGAAGTGTTCTGGGTTAGAGACAGATTTCTTATTAAATGACTCACAGTAAATAATAACTGTGTAACTCCCCCTTGCCCATTGCTCTAGTTCTTACCCCTAGGATGATGCTATGAGAGCCAGAGCAAGTATCCTATGTGAGTACCATTGGTATTGACACCCCACACATGGGTAAGTCAATAGGAAAAATTGTCTTTCTCTCCTTACAAAGGGGAAGGAGTTCTGCTCCCCTAAAAGGGACTCCTTATACTAGCTTTTCAGTATATCAATAAAATATCTTACTGTGATCCAGATAGCCTTATGTGTCTCCAGCTTCTATGACCTAGAGATGCCTCCAAATTCTAGGCTACATCCTTTCTGACAGAGCTTTACCAAGGGACCTTGTCTAGATTGTAACCATTTGGCCCTTTCTAGGAGTTAAGAGGAGTTTTACTATTCTTTCAGATCAGAGCAATTACCAAAGTCTGTACATCTGATACTCACATTATGTGAAGAGTCTCATAAGGCTAGGGTTTTGCATGAGCACTGAGAAAGCCAAGGTTTTATTTCCTCATACATGGTTAAATAAAGGATCGTTTCTTCAAAATAATAAGTATTTATAAATACAATTATTTATAATTTTAGTCAGTTTTCTGTAGTAACAATAAGAACCTAAATCATGTCCAAGTTTCTTCTAACCTAAAAGGGAAGTCTTCATTCTCTTTAAAGGTTCTAACCAGCACCTCTCTCCATAACTTAAAAAAAAAAAAAACTTTACTTTTTCTGGAGACAGCGTCTCTTGCTTTGTCACCCAGGCAGTAATGCAGTGGTGCAATCATGGCTCACTGCAGCCTTGACCTCCCAGGCCCAAGCATTCCTCCCACCTCAGTCTCCCAAGTAGCTGGTAGCTGGGACTACAGGTATGTGGCACCAACCAGGCTATTTTTTTTTTTTAATTTGTAAAACAGAGCTGCTGCCTGGCCAACATGGTGAAGCCCCGTCTCTACTAAAAATATAAAAATTAGCTGGGCGTGGTGGTGGGCGCCTGTAATCCCAGCTACTCGGGAGGCTAAGGCAGGAGAATCGCTTGAACCCGGGGGGCGGAAGTTGCGGTGAGCTGAGATCGGACCACTGCACTCCAGCCTGGGTGACAGAGTGAGACTCTGTTTCAAAAAAGAGAGAGAGACAGAGAAAGGAAAAAAAAAAAAAAAAAAAAAAAAAAAAACAAAGCTGCCTCGCTATGTTGCCCAAGCTGGTCCTGAACTGCTGCATTCAAGCAATCATCCCATCTTGGCCTCCCGAACGGCTGGGATCACAGGCACCAACCACTGCCAGGCCCCAGCCCTTCTCTATCCTTGAATAGCCTAGTTTTTCTTTAAAGAAGAGTCAGTACTTCATATCTCGGCTTTGTAATGTGCAATCATTATTTAAAATGTCTTAATCTGGCCCCTGCACCTGCTTCTAGACTTGAAAAAATCTCAGTAAAGTCTGTTGCAGTAATCCTCAAATTGCTTAAAATTATGGTCACTCTTTTTGTTCAGATTTTATTTAGATTGTGTTTCGGGAACTGAAATTTCAATACTTCAATATAATATTTTTCCCTCAGTGTATCTGTGGAATAAGGAAATTCCAGATTAAGGTGAAAAAGAATGTTAAAGTTCTGAAGTGGTAATGATCACAGTGCCATGGCAGTACTGCAAGCAGCCTTCCATGGTGGGAGCAAGTCAATACCTGGGCAAATTGTACAGGATGTGGTTACAGTGGGGAGGGACAAGTCAATCATTGAAGCACTGACTGCCTGTGAAAGAATTTGGAGCTTAATTACAATGAGTCATAATGCAATGGGTAGGCTTTGAGGGATTTGACATAGAAGTATTTATGGCTAGAGGTTGTTTAAAGAGGTATAGCAGAAATTATAAATGCCATAGGGTCATATTAGTTACCTGTGCCACATTCCCAGCTCCCCCCACAACAAGAAAACGCTTATATAGTAATTATGTTGTTTTAATGAACTTATAAATCAATGTTCATTACAGATTTTTTATCAATAGATAATTGATCATGGCTATGACTGAAAATAAATATCTTGCCTATTATGGGTTTTTACATCTTTAAAATGAAGATATTGGGCAAGATTGACACCTGAAAGTCACCGACCTAAGACCTGCTCAATTCATTAGTGTGATTTGTTCATGCTTAAATTAATATATGTAATGAGCTGTAAATGTACATTAATTTCAGTCTATTAAGTCGTTATTTATAATAAACATATCTTTTGGTAGGTAGTGGAAAGGGCAATGGGTTCAAATTTGAAGACCTAAATTCAGCTTACAGCTCTCTGCTATATTCTGTATTTATTTACTGGTATATATTTAACCTTTTGTTAGCCAGTTTCCTCATCAACAAATTTGAGCACACATACAGTATATATAAAATTACCATTTTAATTTTTTCTTGTTATAAATGCTCTATGCTATGCTATGGAGATATTTATAATTTTTTATCTTCATTTACAAAATATACTGTGAGACACAAAACCTTCATTTAAAAACTAGCTTTGTGGAAATGCTATCTATTTCATTATGGTCAATGTTTACTTACAATAATATGTAGCAATGCTCTATGATGAAAAGCCAGCATAAAAACCTTATTGCTAAACTATTCACACCTTATAATACTCTTGATAGATTTGCACACATGGAGAGTTTATTTATGCTTTCTAGATTATTTTTTAATATTTGCTATTAATTCCACATATTCTCGCTTTATTTGAAGAAAAATAGTCAAAAATTTTAGATTATTTAACAGGAATTATTCTTACTATGAATAATGTGTGCTCACTTGCAAGAGGTTTTAATTATAACTCATCTTTGGAAACAAAAAGTAAAAATCCCAGTAAAAATCCATGTAACATAGGCATGTATTTTTTATAACTTTTTCTCTTGATATTGTGATAGGATTGGGGTAGGTGATATTACTGAACTGTTCTATTTCACACATTTGTAAGGGAATTCTGAACACTCAATAAACACTTGCTGACTGAGGATTTGAAAATTCTTACCCTAGCTCACAGGAGCTAAACAATTGGTATATATCATCTTTATTCCTGAAACTATACAGTGTCATTTCCTTTGTGTTTGGTTTACAAATCTGTGTTGAAGACAAATATACTAGGACATACTCACATATATATTTAGCTATAAAATTTTTATATTTATATGCATATGGACTGTGAGTTGCATGTTTGTGTGTATGTAGTATTGAAGGTGAGATGAAGAGAGAAAGGTATTGCCATGATTTGTCACTATGATGCCATATTAGAATCTCCCTTTAAAAATAATTTTGCATATATAATTCTCACAAGTATTGAGTTTCTGAGGAAGTAAGATACTTACTTATATTCAGTACAAATTGTTCATTCATTCTGGATTATTAGTTTCTTATCAGAAAGTATGTGGGGTAAACTGCCTACAGTGAATCTGTATATCCCAACATGAGTTTTATTAATGCCAAAAGGAATAACAAGACAGCATCACTGACCTTAAGCCAACATAAATAGTGTTAACTGCATAGCTACTAAATGTAGACCTTTAACCAGTTCTGCAAAGCCATTATGAGATATTTTGCACTGTTTTCCCAGTATTATGTTTCTACACCCATATACACCATATAATACACACCATGCATAACACCGTATACATACACATATACATACATATATGCCTTCTAAGTGTATATGGAATTCTCTGTGTATGTATGAAAATTCACTTCAAATCTATTATAAAGTAAAGTATTATCAGAAAAATGTAAATATTCTACAGGAAATTAGAGGTGTTTTCCTGCATCTAAACTGACACTTTCCTTCCTTCTAACAACCAACAATTACCAAAAGAATTTTTTAATTGCTTTTGAAACTCAGGTTAATAAATCCTGTTCTCTTTTAGAATGTTTGGAAAGAAATTTCTTTTACTCTCATTTTTGAAAGCACAGTCCACATTCCACTTCTTAAATATTTTCTAGATAGTTTTACAGAAAGAATGTGAAAGGTTTTAGGCATTTGCTCTTTGTGTAAGGTTTCACTTTATTCCCTCTAATTTTTCCACCTTCTAGTTGTGTGACTTTTGCCAAAATATTTAGACACCCCGAGCCTGTTTCTTGTCTACACAGTAAAGATAATGGCAATACCTACCTCAAAATATTTTTGGGAAAATTAAATCAGGTCCTATTTCTTATGTGCTTAGCACTAAGTAAGGATTCAACAAGTGTTAGTGCTCATCAGTATCATCATCATCACCACATGTATTCCATAAATTGATTCAAATGTTCTACTGTGCTTAGATGCCACTGTAAGTTTTTAGGAAAGATGACAGCTCTGAAGACTTCCTCTGGTTTAACATTAATAGTAAATTTTTTTGTCATGAACTGTCTAAACCTTATTTTTCTTAAGATTTCAATCTACAAATCTTATTATATTATTTAAAATTTACCTATTTCTATACAAAAATAAGATTTTTCTTATTCTGTAGAAAAAATTTGGATCGTCTCAAACTAAAAAGACTAAATTTCCTTAAATATCTAACTCCATTCATAAAATTGGGTTGTTTCTTAAATATTTTAAACTTCAATTTTATATTTAAAATATTTGTTTTTATTTTTAAGCAGTTTGAAAGCTTGACAGAACATAACCCAAAGAAGCAAAATATTAACCCTTAATCAAATTATATAAATCTAATAAATTAAACTTATGGTAAATCAACTTATTTTGAAAATGTAAACAATGAATACATTTAGTCAGGTTTTCCTTATATTGTCTAACTTAAAATCATAAGTTTTTTTGAGACAGAGTCTCGCTCTGTCACCCAGGTTGGAGTGCAGTGGCACAATCTCGGCTTACTGCAACCTGTGCCTCCTGGGTTCAAGCAATTCTCCTGCCTCAGCCTCCCAAGAAGCTGGGATTATAGGCATGCACCACCATCCCCGGCTAATTTTTGAATTTTTAGTAGAGACGGGGTTTCACCATGTTGGCCAGGCTGGTCTCAAACTCCTGACCTCCAGTGATCCACCAACCTCGGCCTCCCAAAGTGCTGAGATTACAGGTGTGAACTACCATGCCTGGCCCATAAGTTTAATATCAATTACACATTTCAAATTAAACTTTCAAGACTAAAATGCTGAATTTTCTCAAAAATAAACATTTAATTAAAAATACACAGATTATGCTGAACTTATGTAAAATTAATATTTACTTTATCTTATCAGCTCTATACTCAAACCTTTATCTTCCCAGAATAAAATAACCACTTATATGATTAAGAAAACAAAATTACCATCTCAGAGGAACTAAGATTATTTTATTTTTTAATGTATTCTTTTCAGCTTTCTATGTCATTAAGGAAAGTCATAAAAAGGAACAAAAAGCCACTACAGTTATTTTAACTTTTAAGCAACTGTTCTCAGTTCCTCCCCAGTCCACAGGTCAATACACTGAGTCCTTTTTACAGTTGTCACATCTACAAGAGATCACAAGTGTCCAACTCTTTGTAATCTAAGATACAAATTTTTCTTCAATATTATTCTACAACTATACTTAGATTATGTTCAACTAATTACTCAATAATTGGACTCTGTACTCCTTCATTACTTTTCTTTGCTGCCTAACCACAATTTGTGACAGTTTAGTGCTTCTTTCTAAGTCAAGTTTTTGGCTACTTCTGCTCTTACTCTCATAATGTGGTTCTCTATAGTCATTGTAATGACTTTTGGTATTTCTAGTATTTCCAATTTTTCCTTCATTTGTACTTTATTAAACAAGGTCACCAAGCTATAGCCCAAGGGCCAGTTCTGGACACCTTATTAAATTATTAGCATCTATGGCTATTTTGCAACAGTGACATATTTGAGTAGTGTAACCAAAACCATATGGCCTACAAATCCGAAAATATTTACTCTCTGGTCCTTTACAGCAAACTTTGGTGACTTGTGTTTAATTTACATTAATATTAGGTATTCCTGGAATCTTAACTCAAAACATCTAGTTGTCCTAACATTTCAATACTTTTGGTTATCATAGCAGCTGGCTATGGAATTAGCCTCATCCTCCTGAAACTGATTCCCCTAAAACATTTTATCAAAAAGGGCAATTGTCTCCACTATGTACCTTTAGAAATGGTAGACCTGCTCTCCCTTTTCCTTTCAGACTTTAGCTGCCTGAACTAATTTATACCCAGAGCTTAATTAGCTCCCTAACTGTATCTCCTATAAGTTGTCTTAGCAACACTTCGAAATGGGCATTTAAAATTGCTTTTGAAAGAGGCCAGTTCAGAATGAAATAAAACATTTTAATGTGAAAATCTATAGGATTTTCAAACAGAGTCAAGATAATCCTGACCTCTGAGAGGTTACAATTTGAATATATTGAAGAGTATGGAAATAAACCTCAGATCTTTCATCATAAAGAAATGCTTATCTGTGAATATAGAATGAAGAATAATTTTTATACTATCAAGTTATTTAATCATAAGTAGTAAATATGAGGTTGATTCGAGATTTCTGTATATCTTTTTAATTTAAAAAGGCAATTTACAAATATTTATTAGTGAATTACTCTTTACCCCACATTAGGAACACTGAATCAAAATGAGCAAGATATTGCCCTTAATTCTAAAATATTTGTATGTTTATAGAGGAGATACATGTTTATGAATATAATTATCACATAGCAAGCTACCCTAAGTGCTGTGAGAAATGTATTTTGCACAATGGGAGCACATGAGATTCACTTAAACCAGAAGATGTGGATGGGTTTATTGAGAAAGTCACAATAAGCAGTACCTTGAAATATGGGCGTTTTCTGAGGTGGAAATGAAAGAGACAAGTTTTTCAGATCAAGGGAACTTGTGCACCAGATATCCAGGCTAGAGATTAATCTTTTTGGTGCTACTAATTTCCTGGTATAATATGGTTGCAAAATGTTATCATTAACAATATTCTTGTCAGTAATAAAACTATTCGGCCAATCTTGTATTCAAATTTTAGCATTATACTTAAATGCTAGATATTCATTATGCAAAACAAAATTGTGATTTGAAAAGCCCATTGAAGTTTAAAAAGAAAAAAACATAAACAGATAATTGGTCTTTCCACGGTATAGCTTTTCAAAAAAAGATGAACTTGCTGCTGCAGCATTTTAAATATAGCATCAACAGACAGCACAATTCTTTCTCTAATTTTCTCTATTAGATTTGTTCTTTCTTATGTTCTGAATAGCATTTCATTAGAACATACAAATATTAATATTTGAGGCCACATGCCAGGAGCATCACAAAAATATTCATTTATGTTTAAAACTAGAAAAGAGGCTACTCTTACATTTTCTTAAACCATATTTAATAAACAAAGTACTATTTTTTTTCTAGGAGGTGCTGCTCTCACATTGAATACATCTGTGGCACAATTACACACAGAGATTGCTTCTCACGCAGGAAGCAAGTTGAAGGAGCACAATACCATCTTGTGTCAGCTACACACACCATCTCCTAACTAACATGGAGAAGAATGGTAGACTAAATTAATATGGAGAAAAGAATGGAAAAGAAACCCTGTTCCCTTTCTTGAATAATCTGATAAATAAGTGTGTTATCTAGCATTGGATGCTCCCTGCCCCTCCCTTAACTTTTATTTATTTTTGTACCAAAATTGTCAAGAAAAAAATATCAGTTTCCTCAGTAATAGTCTTCCGTTTTGCTGTTGACCCCGCAAACAATCGCCCAACAGATTACTAAGCAATACTTTTTAATTGTGTGATCTGTTGAGTTGGGACCATGTCAACCGATAGTAATGACATTCAGAAAATTTTCTATAGTACAATTTAGTAACACTTCAGCCTTGTTTGGAACATTTTGGTAAGTCTATTTTCACTAATTCTTGCCTTTTGTCTTTCATTGCAGTGAAAATTTGACATATCCCCAGACTGGACTGAGTGAGCTGCTTTAGGAAGCTGTATGTTTTTGGAATTTAATTCAAATTTAAATGAGGTTTCCTGCATGTTTGGACATTATACCTCAGAGCCGTGGGTGCCAGAGCCCTGTCCTATGAATGTGTCTCTTCTGAAAATTGCTCTAGGGATTGGTTTTACTGATTGGACAAAAAATATTTTGAACCAATTATAACAAAATAGCTCATTTCTCTTTTATATACATCATGCAATGTCTTCACAATCAGATTATGAGATCTCTAATTACAGAAGAGGATTTTTATATTTCCTACTAGCAAACATTTGTCCACAAAAGTTATGAAAAACAGCTGTTATCTGGAATGTGGCTTGAAATATATCCTGTTACTCTAAAATGGTATTGATATGATTTATAGTTGTCCTATTGCAGCGATTTTATAAGAACTCAATCCACAGCTCTTCTAACATGTCTTGACAGCTTTATTGAGATACAATTTACACATTAAAAAACTGCATGCATTTAATATGTACAATTTGAATATTTTTGGCATATCTATGCCCATAGGAATTTATCATCTACAACCAAGAAAATCAACATCTCCATCAGTCCCCTAAATTTTCTTCTGTCCCTATGTAATCCCTCTTCCTACCTGCCATCACTAGGTGGTATGGGCTAAATTGTGCACTGCCCATCCCCTCCCCTCCCATTTTATATGTTGAAGTCCTAATCCCTAGCACCTCAAAACATGACTGTGTTTGGAAACAGGCCTTCAAAGAGGTGATTAAGCTACAACAAGGCTGTTAGGATGAACCCTAATCTGATCTGACTGGTGTTCCTATAAGAAAAGAAAATTAAGACACACAAAGAGATACCAGGGTATATTTACACATAGAGGAGACCGCGTGAGGTACAAAGAGAGAAGGCAGCCATCTGCAAGCTAACAAAAGAAATCTCAGAATGAAATCAACCCACCAACACCTGATTTCAGACTTCTAGCTTCTGAAACTGAGAGAAAATATCTGTTGTTTAAACCATCAGTCTGTGGTACTTTCTTAGAGCAGCCCTAGCAAACTATCATACCAGGCAACCACTGACTAGCCTTCTGTCACTATAGATTAGATTGTATTTTCTGGAATTTTATATAAATGTACTCTTTTGGTCTGGCTTGTTTCATTCAGTATAAGTTATTTGAGATCCATCCATGTTGGGTTGTATCAATAATTCATTCCTTTTTATTATTAATATTTTGTTGAATGGATATACCACAGTTTATTCATCCATTTATTTGTTACTGGACATTTAGGTTGTTTTCTGGTTGAACTGTTACAAATCAAGCTTCTATGGACATTTATTTACAAGTCTTTTATGAATATGTGCTTTCTTTGATCTTGGGTAAATATCCAAGGTTGGAATGGCTGGGTCATATGATAGGAGTATGCTAACCTCTTTAAGAAACTGCTAAACTATTTTCCAAAAATTGTACCATTTTACATTCCCACCAGCAGTCTTTGAGAGCTCCAGTTGCTCCGTATCTTTGCCTAAAACTAGTATGGTCCATCTTTTTTAATGTAATTGTTCTAATAGGTATATAACAGTATGCTATTGTGCTTTTTAAATTTGCATTGTATTATGACAGTGGTATTGATGATCATCTTTTCATTGCTTATTTACCGAAGTACATCTTTTTTGGTAAAGTGTTTACATTTTTGCATTCTTTTTTGAGTTGTTTTTTTATTACTGAGTTTTGCAGTTTTTAAGTATATTCTGAACCCAAGTTCTTAATCAAATAAATGACTTGAAAATATACTCAGTCTTTTTATTCTCTCACTAGAGTCTTTTACAGAATAGACATTTTTCATTTTAATTAAGTCTATTTATCAATTTATTATTTTATGGATCATTTGGTATTGCATTTGGAAAAATCTTTGCCTAACCGAAGGTCAAAATTCTTCTCTTACATTTTCTTCTAGAATTTTTAAAGTTTTAAGATTTGAATTTAGGTTTCTAATCCATTTTGAATTGGCGTTTTTGTACTACATTTTTTTTCCTTCACCTCTATATGTAGAATCAATTAAGGTAATAATAGTTTCTATCTGAAATGTCCTGCTAACACACTTACCTATTTCAATACTCATTCTACCTTCCCGTCTCCCTGCATTTTGTTTTTTTTTTTTACATCCTTTCACCCAGGCTTTAGCTCCCATCTCCTTCTAAGTCCTCACGCCCTTGCTGTGTCTATGATACTAATGTGATTCAGACCATTTCTCTCCCAGTTTCTTTCCTTCATATATATGCAATTTTAAGTCTTTCTTATTTAAAATAATAATAATAATAATAATAATGCTTTTTGAAGCTGCATAGCTTTCTAACTACATAACATTAACTTGCTTTGTTCTTTTCCTATAAAACTATTCTCTTGAAAGAATTATATATTCTCTCATTTCTCTCTCTTCCAACCAACACTGCCAGGTTTCTGGCCCAGTCATCGCACTGACACTATTCTTACCATCAACACTTGTGATTTCCCTTTGCCACTTATACAGATCCCATTTCAGCATTCATCACACAGGTCTCCCTGGGAGGCATTTACACTGTGGATCTCTGTAACTGGAAGGCATTTCCAAAGCTTGTCTGAGTCTTCCACATTGTCTCTCCTCTTTCTCTCTGTTACTTGAGACATGTTTTCTCCATATTTTCTCTTCTCATTCTATACATTCCACTGGTGACCACACATAAAATCAAGGAATCAAATGCCACCTTTGAAAAATGAATCTCCTAAGTAGATTTCTGGTCCAGACTTATTTACCCAGACCATCAACTTTCTGTTGTATATTTCCAATAGCAATGTCAAGTGCAATACGTGACAAACATAATGCCATTCTTCTTTCACCTAAACACAGGGGTCTTTCATACTTCCTGTGGGGGTAGACGGCACATCATTAACCCTGTCACCTAACCACTGTCCCCTCCATTCCCAATGAAAAATAACCCAGATATTTCAGTTACATCTCCTACATATGTCTCCAATCTATGCTTTCTCTTCATATCCACTGCTTCTCTCCTTAGTATATCTCATCTAAAATTCTGGAATAGACTTCAGATGGACCTGCAGATTCTAATTCTTACCCTCTCAACATTCGACTTGTATATTGATGCATGAGTAAAGTTTCTGAAACACAAATATGTTTAGGGGAATCCCATGTAGATCATATATTTAGGCAACTCTAATACAGAAAAAATTGAACCCATTCTCATGTAACATTCAGATTGTTGTCTTTCTCTCACATCTCATCACTAACAACTGCTCTACACAAAATCTGAGATCTAGCAATAGCTAGCTTCATATAGTTTCCTGAGCATGGAATATTGATACAACTTCCAGGCCTCAGATGAGTGGACAAAATTAAACTCACAAGGCAGTAATGGCATTCAATCCCTGAAAATTTCGCTGCTCTTTCTAAAAAGGTAAAATATATTCTGCCTATTATAAAGTAAATGCTGACCTTCCTATTTTGTTTCTTTTCCTTTACGCTAATGGAAAATAACTTTATGATTTAAAATATAATTTATTGTACTTATAATAATTTGTTTTGACTTGATGGTTAATGCTTGGGCATAACTTAAAATTAGAATAAAATGTATAAATGTAAAAGAATCATTTATGTACTATAAATCATTGATATGATATTCTCAAAGTACTTTGTGAAAAGCACATTAAGAAGTATGGATCCTAATGCATAGGTAAGAAAACACAGAGATAGGTTAAAGAGCTAAAATATCATAAATCCCAACCTGTCTTACTTCCCATTATTTTTATCTGCCTGATATTAAAGATCCTTCTTATCATAAAATTATCTGCAAGGAAATGAAACATTGAGTTCAGTACTGATGAGTCTTGAAAAAAAGAAACAGAATAAAAATTCACACACTATCTTTTCCATTTCACTTAGTGTCCTGAAGCCAAACAGGAGTATTCCCTAGAATTACTTGTAAAAACATTAGAACAGGGTGCAAACCTGGATTCTACTGCTTGCTAGTTGTGTGACTTTAGGCAGATCATTCACCTCTGACTATAAACTCACTTAAGAAGGGCCACAGTAAGAGCTAGTCCTCTTTAGTAAAAGAATTTAATGAAATATATGTGTGAATCAGAATAGGCTGGGCTATGGATTAAAGCTGTAAGTTTTATTTCCCTCTCATGCTCCAGATCTGTCTTGGCTGGGCAGCTGAGGTTTCAGCTTCATATTACCTTCTCTTCATGACACAGCCTCACATACCATCCACATCTACAATGCTGCCACTCTGCCAAGAAGGAAATGAGAACATGGTGTGTTGTATGTTGACTTTTAAAGCTTCCACATAGAAGTAACACATGTCACTTCTGCTCATATTTCATTGATCATATTTCAGGAGGAAGGAGAATTATATTCCTACCATGTGCTCCAGGATATATCCAGAAACATTTATCTGTATCAATGTTTATATTAATATTTCATTTTGGCACACTCAACGGTAGTGAATGGATAATAATAGCTCACTGTACTGAGGGCTTACTCTGTTCAGGGCACTTTGGTAAGGGCTTTGCTTCCATGATTTGATTTAATTTAATTCTCATATTGGCCCATAAGGCAAGTGACTTGATCTGCCAGACATTATTTGTCCTTCTAATATTCATTTCTCTGTTTGTTTGCTTTTTTTTATGACTAACAGAACTGAGATTTCATTTGAGATGACCGTGTTTAAACCTCACATTGTTCTTAAAGCTGTAGAGAAGGAGGTGAAAAACTTCTGGCCAAACTATGGTATGTGGAATTCCACAAAGAGAGCACCCCTTCTTAAAAGAAAAGATAAATGAGGCAGAAGGCAGAAATAATATTAAGAGATAACAAAGCCATTTAGAGACAATAAGGTAAAAACCATGGAGGTGGGAAGGTAGTCGTGGTAACACTGACCATGACATCAGCATATGGCTGATCAGATACCAGCAGTCTGTTGCCTCTCACCTTCCTGTCCTGAGAGCTAAATAAGCTTGCTCTTTTTGAGCTGAATTTTAAAGGGTGTTCTCTTATTTTAATGTACATCTTTCTTACCAGATATAATTTATATATGCATGAGTTAATAACAAACCAAAATAAGTCATACACATGTTAGATATACTGACCAACATAACAAGATCAATTAATGCCAGAGCTTTAGAACTTGGATTTATAATGGCCTGACTCTAAAATTTTGGTGATTAACAAAGGACTATAAAATTTCCTGAATATTCAATCAATTCTAAACAGTTCAGAGTCAAATCCTAGACACTTGATAATTCAAAACGTGATAATTGTCATTAATATAATTTTGGTATCACAAAGGAACTCAGCAATTCTTGATGTTTATAAACAGAGTTTGTAAAAAAACAATGCTTCAGTTCAGTGGTATCAAAGTTTTATAATTAATGTAAGTTGGCAGTGTGATTTTAATGCTTCGATATATTTTTCAATGAAAGACTAATGATATGAGTGAATATAGGGTAACCAATACCTTCATTACACCTCAGTTCTTTCACATATGAATCGGAGTGGTTGATTAGGTAATACTCATTACTTTCTAGTCTGTGTAATCTATGATTTTACTGTGGTGATGAAAGCAGGTGCGTTTTAGAAATCTATCCATTCTTTTCATAGTAGCCATATAGAGCAACTGGTACCTACTTGTTTTAATATCTATCTTCTCTAGGGCTGAAAATCTCATGAGGGTATGGCCATGCCTGTCTTGATTACTCTATGCTTCTCGAATTTAACAGAGGATCTGCTCAAAATATATTAATTGGTGAGAAGAATGTTAAATATCATTCTTCTTGGAAAAAGGGGCAGAAAACTTAAGAAAAAAAGCATCACTTTGAATTCAGCAGAGCAACTTGTATTCATTCTTTACTTTGTAACAGTGTGAACATTACAAGAGACAAAACTAAGTTTAAAGATATAAAAATAGTTTCTCTCTACTTATAGATTTTTTTAAATTATTGATCTTGTGTTATTGTGTGTTCCTAGTCTCAGAAAGTAATGAAAATAATAGTAAATATTAACCTTCAGAAATTGATTTTTTTCTGGATTGAGAGTAGATCAACCTATTTGATAACATTGTGTTGATGATAAATAGCTTCTAAAAGTTGAGTGGTTTAGCAAAATAAAAGTTATTGAACATTTGCTCATGTCACAATCTTGTATGTGTCTTATTCAGTAGAATGGACTTCCTCCCTGAAGTAATCCTGGGATCTAGGTTCCTTCCATATCTGGTTGTGCTATCTCCTTGGCCTCATCTCCATCTGTAACTATGTGGCACAGAAAAAGTATGAGGGAGATTGTGTCACAGTACTTTATGGTCCAAACAGGTAAAGTTTCATATTACTAGCACAAAGACTCACTAGTAAGAACTCACATATATGGCCTCATCTAACAGCAAGGTAGACTGGGAAATGTAGACTTACTGTTAATCCAAGGGAGGGGATAAAAATTTTCAGTAGAACTATTGGTTTTTGCTACTCTTGAATTAATAATTCTGTAATTTGCAATTCTATGGGGAATAATATAGACCACACATCTATCCTTATATATTTACTCTGATCTTTTCGACTGCCCCTCAACCATCACTAAGCATTGGCTGTTTTATTTTGATGACGTTAAGGTTTGTAAAAATAAATTGAACCCATTTTGGAAATTTCACTGTGGAAGCTGCCAGTGACATTATTTAAGCTCCTTGCATCACATATTCTTACTTCCTTAAAAATCTCATCCGTGGAAGATTCTGTGATGCTAATTCAATCTCAGCCTCTGTACTAATTCACATTATTTCCATTAGAAGTTCCATTCATAACAGAAACTGGATAAGCATATAAAACACAGAATTGGAAAGACATTTAAATTAAATGTAATGAGTCAGTGGCTTCTGTATTCCCTTTATTATATACAAATGCCAAATGAAACTTTCAGTAATGCCTAATGGCCATTGTTGGGTTTCATGATCATTTCACGTTTGCTCAAAAGTCAATTGAAATAATTGCCTTGGTTAAAATAATTGAAAGTCATCTGTAAAGTCAAACTGATTTACTGTGTGTGTATTTTCTCTCTACAAACAAGTACCTGCAAATAATTTTCAAATATTTTCTTATGTTTAAGGAAAAACTAAAAGCAACATAGTAAGAATGAAGGGGGAAATATTTTAAAGTTATATTACATCATTTTTGACTTTGTTTCTAAAATTTAGACTAGTAAGTCTGATACCCATTTAATAAGTTTTTACATGCAGGTCCTTATCTCGGTTCTTTGATTTTAAACAATGTTTTTACCCAATTAAATTTTAATTCTCAAGGGTCAGGGATTATGTCTTCCTGTTTCAAAATTATATCCTCTACCTATGTGCTAAGTACATTTTAGACATTCAATAACGTATTTTAAATATTGAATATAAATATTGATTTCAAATATCAGATTCACTGACACACACACACAAACGCATATGCATACACACACAAAGGTTATTTTCTGTGTAACTAAGGAAAGTTACAATCTAAGTTTCAATTATTTAAATTATTTCTATAGACTGGTAGATGTGAAGAATCTTTTCTCAATACCTATGCATATATTATAAATCTTAAATAAGAGTAATACGTTTTATAGACACATTAAACCTATTCTCGTTATACATTTTATTATCAAATTTTAAAGGAAAAAATATTTACAGAGCTAACAATATACTTGAATGGTAACTAACCATGTCTTTTGTTTTCTTGCCACAAGAGCTGGTATTGTTGTTTTATAACTCACAAAATACATAAGATTATTTTATAAGTAAATTAACATATAAATGTAGAAAACTCAAGCACTCAATTGAAACATTATCAATAAGTAACTATACAACGCTAATTAACAACTTTTGTTTTATAATTGTGTGGTTTATCCAAAATATTTCCCAATTTCTATTTCTAATATCCCATTACGCACACACATGGGTGCATGCACACATGCGCGCACACACACACACACACACACACACATATCTTGGGTATCCTCCTTGTTCTTCCTTCAGTGTCATTGCCTTAATTATCACCATCACCACTGCCAATATCTCTACCTACTCTCAAAAATAAGTTAAGAGAAAAGACAAATCAGGATGTGAGTCACCAAGCATATAATCTTGACCACTCATAAGACAAAATATACTATATTTTGAACAATTTCAGAACATTTTCAGCAGGATTTGAAAAATGACTCTTCTAACTTCTGGCCCCTTCAGGAAGTAGTTATCACATAAAATATGTAAAATCAGGACTATCTGTGAGAATTTGCCAAATATCTTATATAGTGAGTATATGAAAATACATTTCCTTCATTCTCTAAACATTCTTCCTTCCAATTCAGAGAAAATTCCTCTTTATAACCTTTGGGAACAAAATAATAAGACCCAGGCTGAGGCTGACATCACTTCACAGGAAATTATTCTTATTACTCATTCATTATATTTTAATTCTTTGAAAACTGACTCACTGTCATTCATTACTATTATTGAGAACTAGATAAACTAGAATGAGGTTATTTTGACAATTCCATTTATTAGCATACTTGTTTTATGTAAACAAAAGAGTGCCTCTAAAATGCTTGCTGATTATTGAAAAGCAACAATGAAAACTATTACAAATCACTTACTATTACATCTATTTTTGTATGATATGGGTCAAACAATTGTCTCAAAACAAAACTTCAAAATTTTCCTGGAGAATATAGGCAGTATGAGAGGCATAATTTTGATGTTCCTACAAGATTCTCATCCCCTAGTTATTTAATCAAAGACTATGCTAGGTACTGCTCTGAAGGAACTTTGCAGATGAGGTTAAGATTATGAATCAACTGACCTTTAAATAGGAAAAGTTAACATGAATTTTCTGATGATGCTCTTAAAAGCAAAAGGAAGGCTGAAGAGACAATGAAATGCAGAAGGGGAAGGCTTAGAAGATACATGGTAGAAGGGAAAGTCAGAGAGATTCAAAGTGAGACAAGGACTCTACCTGCACTTGTGGACTTTGAAGGGGGCCATGAGCCAGGAAATGTGAGCAGGCCCAAGAAGCTGAGAATAATCAGCAAAGAAACTGAGACGTCCATCTTATAATCACCTGAAACTGAATTCTGTCAACAACCTTATTCTTCAAGACTTTGAAGGAGCATGTGGCATTATTTAGGCATGATAACGAAAACACAGAATCTTTAAAAGATATTCAGCATTCTTCTGAAAAAAATGAATGCATTAATAGAACATATTCTTTTGAAATATGAATGTAATCATTTCCAATGTTTGAAATGCTATAAATGATTCAGCATCTCTGTTTTCATAATTAGTGAAGCTTAAAGTCAGGGTCATAATCATTATTCTCTAACTGAACATTTAACTATAATAAAATATGTTAAGCTTTAGAGAAGAAAGATACCCAAACACAAAGTGGGGGATGTGCTAGGTACAGAATGTATGAAACACTCAAACATGTACACCTAGGTGCATATATTCCCTGTCTTCAGAGCCAACTTATTTCATCAAGCTCCTAGGTGAGGAGCTAAAACTGGTAGTTCTAATAGGGGATAATTTTCTGACCCTCCCAGAGCTGGTGAATAATAACTCATCTTCCTATGTACGTCTGGCCAGGTTCTGCCCACTATTCATGTTCAAGGCTATCAAGTGACCCAAACAGCTGTTGAAGAGAAAACACTAATCAGAAGAAAAGATACTACTCTGCTCTTCTAATATGTTTGAGGTCTATAACGTGACCTGCTCAATTTACCCTACGAACATAAAGTATAATATCATCTGAAAAAGTGACATCTGAGGAAAGGCAGCTGAACTGATTCACCACACCAGGGTGGGGAGAGTGCAAACACAGCAGGGTTGTTCTTGGGTACACTGGGTAGAGATCCCAAAGATGTGAAGATGCCTCTGGAGAGGGCCTCACATGTTCATTATTTTCAGCTGTTTTCTCAGGACATTTGTAGCTGCACACAGGCCGACCAGAGCACAGAAGATGCCCAGTCATAAAGAGCTGCAGACATGAGGCATATTTTAGAACCAGTCTGAACCTGGAGACAAATTAAATCCCCTACAAATCTGTATTTCGGTTTTGTTTTTGTTTTGTCTGATGTTCTTTCCAGGACAAGCATACTGGGCCAAAAGTTTGGGACAGGACAGACAGCTGAGGAAATCAAATGGAAGGAGGAATAGTAAAGTTTCCATGTGGTAAGAATTTGGGGCTAAAGCAAATTAGATCACACCTGTCAGATTTGCTGCTGATTACCTCAAATTGTCTATTAATTTCCATGAATGTTCTGGACTTGTGGTCCAAATGTTTACTTTGAAACAAAATAACAGATTAGGAATTTTTGCATTTTTTGTGATATGATTCCCCAAAGTTAGCTGTTACCTTCCTTTCTTCTCTCTTCTTCTATCCTGAAATCAGACTTAAACATAAACTCTTAGAACCCAGTGGTTATATTTTATCTTAAAGTTCACATAGCAGTTAATTCAATGCTTGACAAATGAACAAGCTTAAATCTCTAATTGCATTCTAAATATACTCATGGAATTTAAAAACCTGATGATAGGAGAAAAAGCCTATATTTTTTACATCTCAGGTTCTACTATACACTAGCCTAGGGTTAGCAAATACGTAGCCTCCAATTAAGTATCCATTGTGAACATTACTAATCTGTCACAAGAGTTTCCCACTGAAATGGCAAGAATATCCATCTCAACACAGAGATCCAGATAGATACTCTTAATGATTACATATGCCATGTGGAGTGAAAAGAAAACACCTGCTGTGGAATGCTTTATTTTCTCATTGATAGATAAGGAATCTGCGAGGTAAAGAGTAAATACTTTGGAAAGAAGACAGAACTAGTAAGTGACTGAAATGAAATTTGAATTTCCTTCTGTATAAATTCAAAACCTTTGCTCTGTCTAGCCTACCACATTATGTTTAAAAGAAAACATAATAAAATCTATTAAAATTAGAATATTTCACATATTCCAACAGAGCACTGTCTCTGGTTTCAGAAAGAATGGGTTCATATACTATCTTTGTCACTCATTGTTTCTGTGAGCTGGACATGGTTACTCAGGTTCTCTCTGCTCAGTCTCCTCATCTGTAAAATAGGGTAACTAATACCTATGTAATTGTACTTTTATGAGGAGTGAATGAGATAACACATGTGAATGCTTAGTCCATCACCTAATACCTAGTAACTACACATTAGAAGTTAGCATAAATCATTTTTATTGTCACCTGCTGCACTGCATGAATGAAACTATGACTATAATGCAAATAATAAGATGGAAATTATTATTGTAAACTATAATTATGATGTGTCAATTACTCATCTCAAGGAATAGAGCCAGTTAAGCATCATGAATATTTTTTCTCGCATTGATACCAAACATAATTGTCTTCCATAAGTGCCCATTCCTATATTCCATGGCCCATTGAAATACTTTGTAAAAGTCCTATACTTCTAACAGAACTTATGGTAATATATAACTAGATAATGTAATTCATCATGCATAATGCAAGCCTAATTTGTTTGAAAAGCTGAAGAGTTTTATTTTATGGGGAATCACTATAAGCTGATAAGAAATGAAGATAGAAGCAGATTATCTTTTCTCTTGCTTTGACCAGTCAGAATAACTGTCAGTGTTGTGTAAATTCAAGAGAGGCTGTTGGCAATGTAGTGGTGAGCGCTGCAGGGGATGGCAGCCATTAAGAGAAAAGCAGAGGTGGTGCTGAGAAATTAGAATGAGAAACTAAGCATCAGGATCTCCCAAGAGGTATGCAGTAGTCATTCAATGGGAAGGCAAGAGATCAGACATTCACAGCACGGGGATCTGTACTACCACGCTGTGCTCTGCACTTTCGAAGGAGCCTATTAAATGACAAGGGTAACACTGGAAAATACTAAAATCTCACCAAAATGCCTGTCATCTAGTGTTGAAATATAGCCTCATGGATGTAAGCTTCTACCATCTAAAGAAGCTACAGGGGCACATTACAAGTCAGGAGTCCATCTAAAAGTACCCTGGGAATTCTCACAACCATGAGCAGAATTCTTAGAAGGGGAGAATTAAGCTCCATTTGTTTTCACTTTCATGCAGTTATTTTTTTTTAACTTTTGAGGAAATTGCTACTGCTGTCAGTGCATAACAATAAAGGACAGTATAGACGAAGGGTTAAACAAAGAAAAACTGTCAAGCAGCACTAAAGGTGATTCTTCCTAAAAAGGTAATATATCAGGTCAGAAACAGAGTTGTTAGACTCATTTTCCAGATAGGAAAATTAAAGTCCTGAGAAGTGACATGATTTGCACAGTTAGTGGCAGAGGTGACACTGAATGTCCAGTGTTACTTTTGGCTTTAAAATGTCACACCAGTGCCATATGTACCTTATCCTTTGACTCAGTGTGGTATGCCAACTTCCAAGATGGCCCCCAAGATTCTCACCCCATCATGAAACAAATCATCTTCCAGTTATTCAGTCAAACACTAGTCTAGATAATACTGCTGTGAAGGTCCCAATCAGTTAACATTAAGATAGGGAGATTATCCTCAGTGGGCTTGCCCAAATCAGTTGAGCCCTTAAAAAGACTGGACTTTTCCTGGCAAGAAAAATTTGAAGCATAAGGAAAATCTGATATGAGAAAGTGGTATGGACTAAATTGTGTACCCCTGAAGTTTATATGTTGAAACTCTAACCCCCAATGTGACTGTATTTAGAGACAGGTTCTATAATGAAATAATAAAGACTAAATGGGGTCATAAAGGTGGGGTCTGGTGTCTTTATAAGAAGCAGAAGAGGTACTCCTCTCTTTGTAAGCACACAGAGGAAAGATCATGTGAGTACACAGCAAGAAGGTGGCTGTCTACAAGTCAGGAAGAGAGGCCTCACCAGAAACCTACCCTGACAGCACCTTGACCATGGACTTCTAGTCTCCAGAATAGTGAGAAAATAATTTTTAGTCAATTAAGCCACCTAGTCCATGGTATGTTACAGCAGCCTGGGAAAACTAATACAGGAAGATTCTCCATTGCTCAGTTTTGGAGATTGAGAGGGTCATGCGACAAAGAATGTGGAAAGTGGCCACCAGCTGAGAGCCATCAAGGAAACAGGGACCTCAATCCTACAGCTGAAAGAAACTGAATTAAGATTCAACTATGTGAGCTTGGAAGACAACTTCAGGTTTCAGATGAGGACACAGCCAGCTGACACCTTGATTTCAGCCTTGTGAGAACCCAAACAGAGAATTCATGCCAATGCTCAGACTTCAGCCATTCAGAATTGGGAGCTTTTAATAAAGGGATCTTGTTTTAAGCTGCTAAATTGGTGAGTATGTTTTACAAAATGACAGAAAACTAATACATCCAATAATATTAGTTCTAAAATTTGACATTTAGGAAGTAATCAGAGTTATAGACAAAAGTATATATTTCATGAAATGTTTTCAAAATAGTAAGAAGTTGAAAACCTTCATGTCCAATAAGAGGTTAATTGCATTGCTTATGGCCTCTCCAGATGATGAAATATTCCATGGCCATTAAAAGGTATGTGGAAACAACACCATGAGAAATGTAGAAAATGAATAATGTGATATTTATAGTTACATATTTATATATGTACTAAATATGCAAATATTAAATATACATATATAAATTTTTACATTTTAAGACTAATAAAGGTTAGCTCTAATAGAATTAGAAACTATTGATTTGGACTATTTTTTGTGTGTGTTCTTTTTTATTCATCAATTCTTCTAAAATAGTAGTTATTATTTGCAATAAAAAGAGAACAATAATAAATTGCATTTTTGAATGCTACCTCCACTGGAAATACTGTTTTATATTTCTGTAATCCCAAAGAAGACAGATCCAGAGATACTTTTAAATGGGTTGCCCGATATTATTTTGGAGAGAAGCTTCTTTTTGTTTTTCTTAAAGTAATTATATTTCTTTATGACATAGGAGGTAGGAGTTGCAGGTTCAGTTGCTACCTAGAGTATGAAATGGATACTGAAAATCTCAGGACATGTTCTTTTCATTGGGGTGAAGTTTTAGGGTCATAGGAGATTCACTTCACAGAAATTGGACAGATCAACGTTAATATGTATTTTCTGCAGCTCCTAAAATAATTTATGTTTTTGATAGCTCATAAACTATCAAAGCAATAATTATTATAATAATAAGTGATAGATTAATTCAGATAGGACTTTTGATTACAGTAGTAAGTCAGATATGTGGCTGCAAAACAATGATATAACAGGGTGGGGGAGGTGTAAAAAGGGAGGCACTGAAGTCTCTAATGCATTCGGTGCCCTGGAGTACCTGTGCACCAGCTGGTAGACAGTATAGCAAAAGTTCAATGATAATTTCATATAAAAGTTTCTTGTGCTTTATCATTCATATTTGATTATGGTTAGTTCATTAATTACCTTCTTGAGAAGTGAGACTGGAAAGAGAATTAAATGGTACTTTAAAAAGCTAATTTTGCAAACAATTAAGCCAAATATAATTGATAATTGCTGTAACAACTAGCCCCTAGGCATTCCACTTTAGAAAAATTGTTTAGACTTTGGTAATGTGAGAAAATATAAGTTCTCTTCATAAGTTTAAATAAGTATGAAAAAGTTGAAATAAAGACAATTAAGCTTTTCATGAAACTTGACTCGAACTAAAAGTGATAAGTTTAGCAACACAAATTTGAACATTGTTTCTAGAAAAAAAAAAAATGGTTGATGAAGACCAGGGCTAACCTTGGGGAAAATATCTATACTAATCATCACAAAAACATGAATTTTTAAAAGGCAATGATTCCTGTTATTCTTATGTCTTCTTGACAGAAGCACAACCCTCTTGAACTTTTCTTTCCTAGTGCATATATGTATTCTTCAGAGCTTTCAAGCTGGAACCACACGAAAAGCTTAGCAAATGGTTTTAAAATACCATTATTGAACAAGTACTTTGTGGCAAGAACTATGCTAAATATTAGGCATGAATCTAACCCTTCCTTCAAACTGCTTAGTGTCCCTCAGAGGATAAGCCTGTAACATAGCAAAGCACACAAAAGAAGGAATGGGTGCAGCTTCTGCCTAGGCTGGCCAGAGCAGCTTAACAAGGAAGTGGTACCTGGCCAGGGTGTGGAGGGTGTAAACAGTACCTGACAAAATAGATTGGTGGGTGATGAGACCCTGATGAGGAAGCATGTTACAGGTAGAGGGAATAACATGGAGAAAGACTTAGGTATAGTATGTGGGAAAGCCTTCTAGACAGGCAGCTTGCAAACTTTTCCTGGAAATGATTCAGAGTTTTTGGAAAGGATCCTGACATCAATACATTTTATTCATTTAACAATCAATTATGAATTTGACATTAGGCTCAGGTGACCAAAATTTTAACAAGACAAAAATTTTCTGTTGGGGATCTCACAAGACATCAGGAGACAGGCAGAAAATCAGACCAAAAAAATGTGGAGCAGCCTTTATTGTGGTGACCCCTAAGCTGTTGCCTTTCTTTTTTCATCTCAGAGCACAGCCTTTATTTTTTTTCTTTAAAGCAGGAAATTCCCAACTTTGGATGAATTGTGATTGATCCAAACCATCATGACAATGCCAATTCCCTTCATCTAAATCTCCTTTTCCAGCCTCCCTTGCAGCCAGTGAGCAAATTAGTATCAAATGGTGAAGATGACTCCTGGATGTGCTTTCTTATTGCATTTATGATTATACATTATATTTTCTAGGTTTATGTATGGCTATGCCGTTTTTTTTCCCAGAGAGTATTTTTTTTTCTTTTTTTAAATTGTATTGCTTTTTTTTTTTTCAAGTTCCGGGGTACACGTGCAGGTTTGTTACATAGGTAAAGTTGTACCACGGTGGTTTGCTGCACCTATCAACCCATCACCTAGGTATTCAGCCCAGCATGCAATAGCTCTTTTCCTTAATGTTCTTCCATATATACATATGTATATATGTATATATGTGTATATGTATATATCCCATACATACATATGTATATATGTGTATATGTATATATCCCATACATACATATGTATATATGTGTATATGTATATATCCCATACATACATATGTATATATGTGTATATGTATATATCCCATACATACATATGTATATATGTGTATATGTATATATCCCATACATACATATGTATATATGTGTATATGTATATATTCCATACATACATACGTGTATATGTATATATGTATATATGTATATATTCCATACATACATATGTGTATATGTATATATGTATATATTCCGTATATACATATGTATATATGTATATATTCCGTATATACATATGTATATATGTATATATTCCGTATATACATATGTATATATGTATATATTCCGTATATACATATGTATATATGTATATATTCCGTATATACATATGTATATATGTATATATGTATATATTCCGTATATACATATGTATATATGTATATATGTATATATTCCGTATATACATATGTGTATATGTATATATTCCGTATATACATATGTATATATGTATATATGTATATATTCCGTATATACATATGTATATATTCCGTATATACATATGTATATATTCCGTATATACATATGTATATATTCCGTATATACATATGTATATATTCCGTATATACATATGTATATATTCCGTATATACATATGTATATATTCCGTATATACATATGTATATATATTCCGTATATACATATGTATATATTCCGTATATACATATGTATATATTCCGTATATACATATGTATATATTCCGTATATACATATGTATATATTCCGTATATACATATGTATATATGTATATATGTATATATGTATATATTCCACATATACATATACACACACACACACACATACACATATATGCCTGTGTTTTCTCTTCCACATAACAGTACTTCAGATATCTGCCTTAAGTTATTATATAAATATTTGTATATGTATTATACAATATATATAGAAAACACAAGCATATATATAAGTATACTTATACATATACTTACTCTATATATACATATATATATATGTGTGTGTGTGTGTGTGTGTGTTTTCTCTTCCCCATAACAGTACTTCAGATATCTGCCTTAAGTTATTATATGAATATTTGTGTGGATACAGGAGCCTAAACATCCCTAGTCCCATAACCATATGCCATATGATAAAGGCTTCAGCTCCCATTTTTCCCTTTTAAGAAATATTTTTCTTTACTCAGGTCCTGTCTTTTGTGTGAGCTACCAGAGCATAGTGGGACTGCTTGCTTCCTTGGTAGCAAATAATAGTCTTTATTTTAACTAGAAATAAATTCTGTCATTGAAGTAAGATAAGCTAAAATATGGCCCATGGTATTTTTTATGGGTCTCTTTTATTAGGATGTCAAAATTGAAAACAAACATTGCCATAATTATGAGTAATACTTTCATCTTTGAAACAACTAAACCATTGTCAAAGTAATACCTGCTCTTCCACTAGTTAGAGTAATTTTTGTCATGTGCTCTGAGGCCTAGCATTCTCATAGCTCACAAGATTAGTTATTGAAACATATTCAGAAAAATGTACTAATTTCACTTCTGCCATCATTAGCAGGAGCTAAACATTGGACACACATAGCCATAAAGATGGGAACAATAAACACTGCGGACCACTAGAGAGGGAGAGAGAGGGGAGACCTTTTGGGTACCATGCTCACTACCTGGGTGAGGAGACTATTTGTACCATGAACTTCAGCATCATGCAATATAACCATGTAACGAACCTGCACATGTACTCTTAATCTAAAATAAAAGTTGGAATTACAAAAAATAAAAATAAATATGTGAGTATCTATGGATATGACAGCTCCCTTTCATTTCTGTAGCACTGAAATGGTCAGGGGCTGCAGAGGAGAAAAAGACTCTCACCCAGCAAACTTACGAAACCGCTGTAAAGAGTAGCAGAAAATAACGCATTATATTATGTAAACAGGAAAGAGAAACAAAATGAATCATTTTGGCGTATAAGAGAAGTAATAATAAGGAACCCCCTAGGTACTGCTAAAAGACTCAGAACCTAGAATAGCCAAGTATGAGAAAAGAAACCACCACAGGAAAAAGAACTGGATTTGCTTTCTCCCATAATGATGGGTATGGAATCTGTCAATACTTTGGCCACTGGAAGAAGAGAGTAAGGCAGATGGCAATGATAAAACCATCAGAGACAAGAGCACATGGAAGTAAAGACTTTCATGGAGCTATGATAACGGCGGAATGAGAATTTCCACTTTAACATGTTGATGTCAATGTCACATTGCTCCACAAAATAGTTGTACCAATCTGCAAACCCACAAACAGCATATGAGAGTAAAATGCTCCCACTTCACCTACACTGGATATTGCAATGTTTTAAATGATTACTAATATGATAACCTTATTTTGCTATATTTTTTATATTTATGAGCTAGAGGGACTTTTCATACATTTATTGATAATTCATAGTCATTTCTCTATAAATTGGTAAAAATTGACAATAAATGGTGCAATAACAATAACTAATATTAAATAAGAGATTCCACTATACTTCCTTGAGGCAAGTCTCAAAAGGGCATACTGTTGATTCTACAAGGCTCCCATTAAGCCCACCTACTCTTCTTTCTAGCTTTTGTGATTGAGGTGGTGGATGTTCTAATAATCAGATGCATGAAGAAGTGGGAATGACCTGCTTCACACACCAGCCACCAAATTAAGTTTATCTTGCTTATTGTTTTGTGCCAACTAATCCTCTTATGTCAAGATGTTAGAGATCCAAGGAAAAAGAACAGAGTCTGATTCAGAATAACAGGTTAATTTATGATGTTTCAAATCTGATTGTTTCCTGGTAACAAAGGCAATAACAGACATTAGAATTGCTTGTGTTTTTTCTATAATTGTTTCAAATCCTTTTTGGACACTGTTGAAAAAACTTCTTCTTAAGTGTAAATTTATCTGGAGCCAAAATGTGCCTTGTATACCCAAGGTTTAGAACAGTGCCTGACACAAGACAATTGTTAATTAGTATTATTAAAGCTTTTCTGATTATATGAATAAGTGTAAACAAATTAAGATATTATAATAAAAATAACATACAAACGGCATCCAAGAATATAAATTCCTATGAATTCCACCCCCTCAAATCTATTCTGACATCTCTTTCTATGCAGTTGAAATTCTAAAAATGTCATTCTATTGACATAGTGCTTCCCTCTTCTCATCATTCATGACAATGCATTTTTCTTTCTCATTTTATGGGTAGAAGCCATTGGCATTTTTCTAGAGAAGCATTTGCAGGGATTATACATTCTCACAGTTTGCTGCATTCTTTGATAGAAAAATGTGCTGCATTGACCTGATAGTCGTAAAATACTTGAGATTTACTATCCTTCTCTCCTGTGGATGATGAGAAAAGCTCTTCTCTGCTAAATAGTAAAGAAAAATTATTTTTCTACATAAATACTATCAGTCACAGCTTTATCTTCTTGATATTATTTTCTCTTGAAGAACTTCATAAAAAGCAGAAAATTCAAAGCCAATAAATATCTAATAAATACCCATTAATCTTTATGAATCAAAAATAAATCCTATAGGAAATATATTATAATTTTGCCTCTTAAAAAGCATTATTTTTATTTCCAATTATGAAGGAAGCACATCTCATTTTCTGTAATTAGAGACCATATATCTATTTCAAAAGAAATTTAAAAACATATAATCTCATTACCAGGCAGGGATAAAAGCTAATAACAATGTATTTTGTTTCTTCCCATATTTTTCTACATGTGAGTATCTATTTATAAAGAAGATAACATTTTGTGAATACCATTTGCAAGTCTGTTAAAATACAAAATTGTTATATTATGATTATATTCTCATGTCAGTAAATACTGGCTTAAAAGATATTGTGGGAACTCAACTAGTTTATTTGAACATCTCCCTTCTGCAGCAAATTTGGATTGTTCATAGTGTTTGACTATAATAAATAACACTGCATTGAATATTTAATTTTATATCTAGTTCACCCTTAATTTGAAACCTAGCATCCCTGCCAACTAGTAATATCTTCTGGGTTACTATTTATTCTCATCAAAAATATGTGAAAAACTAAACAATTTTAAGTGCCGATTACATAATGTCAGTTTGCTTTCCCAGAAATCCATATATATTTACATTGCCCTCTATAGTATATGAGAATACACATAAAATTTAATATTCCATTTTAATAATGATGATTCCCCCTGGAAACTCACTGACTAACCAGATTTTCAACTAAATAACACAAGTGGACTTTGGTATTATGTCTTAATGAAAAGCACAAGTTTATTGCTTTATTTTAAAATACTATTTTTAAATACATTTATTTATACATTTATAATTATTTATAATTTATAAATAAAGCCATGCATTTATATGTAAAATAAACTATAAAATTATCCCTGAAGCTCTAATCCCCAATCCTACTACCTTACTTTCTAGAAGAAATCAGTTTGCTATTACATTTGTGTATAGTGTGTGTATTACACAAGTATGTATGTGGTTAAATACACACACACACACATATAAATACACATACACCTATATATACACACATACACACTCTATATGTGTTCATAAAATTAGCTTTTTTTTCTTTTTCCAAAATTGGAATCATACCGAATGTGTTGTTTTAAACTTCTTGCTATTTAACATTAAACACTTTATGGATAATTTTCTTTTTATCTTTTATAGCTTTTTGAATATAAAAAGTGTTTACATTGGTATGTCCAGTTCACATCTCTTAACTCAGTAATCTTGATTTATCAAAAAATAAGTATTTTAAATTTTGTATAAACTCTTTACATTTCTATCTCTGTTAGTCTTATCATGAAAGACCAACAATTAAACATAATGCAAAAACAGTTTTCTGGTGAAGATACCGCTACCTTAAACTTTTAAAAAAATCACTATATGTTATCAACCAAATTACAGCAAAATAAGTTTCTTAAATGACTTATTTTCAAAGAAATAGAAAGGAATTTCACACTTTTGTTGTATAACTGCACTTTGCATAGTGATTGGGAACAGTGTGAAGAAGTAAGCATTTTCATTTAGTCTCATCATCTGCACTGAGGACTATAATGCTCAGATCAGATTATGAATCTTTGTCTTAATGAATGAGAATGGTACAAGAGCCCTTGCTAATGCTATTTAAAATTTTTGTCAAAGGAAATAACCTGTAACTTGACGGACAGTTCTTCTCAGAATATTTAGGTATACTCCTGGTTGTTTTCAGAAAAGAGTGAAGTGGATTAACAATGTTAAATAGTTAAATTAATGTCCTTATTATTTCTTAGAAAAATAAGAGTATGAAGTTTAAATTAAATAGTTGGTGAAGAATGTGGCTTTGAAGGGAGAAATAAAAGAGATGACAGAATCAAGTAAGAGGAAATAAGGCCCAGGTTTGGCACAGCTTGAATAGAGTTTCAGGGAGTTTCACTGGCTAAACACATTTTTTAAAGAGTTTTGCTTTTGCAATTCTTCAGCTTCTACAATTTTATATGCTCGAGTATATATCAGTTTTAAATGTTCAAAGAAATCTATTTCTAGATAAAAAAATCTATTTCTAGATCATAAAAAGATTTAAGAGAAAACCAGCTCATCATGTGCAAGATAATCTCAATAACATTAACAGCTGATTTTCAGTCAGTAACCACGGAGTTCAAAAGGCAATGGGATAACATACCAAAAGTGCTGAAAGTAAATATCAACCCCAAATTTTATATCCAGCAAAACTAACCTTCAAAGAAGAAGGAGATATTTCTTAACATAATGCCAACTAACTGAGCCCAGCAATGTATGTAAATAATTATATATCTTGATGCACTGGGACATATCCCAAGATTGCAAAGTTGGTTTAACATCTGAAAATCAATCAATGTAAAATAGCCAATAAATAAAATAAATGGCAAAACTCATATGATCATTTCCACAGTTACAGAAAAATTATTTGGCAAAATCTAATATCCTTTTGTTATTAAAACACCCAGAAAACTAGATTAGAAGGGGTCTTCTTGAGCCTGATAAAGCACATCAATGAAGAATTTGCATCTAACATACTTCATGTTGTAAGACTGAATGTACTTCCTTAAGAGCAGGAAGAAGCAGGGATGTTCACTCTTGCCATTCCTATTCAACATTTTACTGGAAGTTCTAGTCAAGGCAATTAGGCAGGAAAATGAAATAAAAGGCATTAGGATGAATTAAAACTATCTGTATTGGCAGATAACCCAACAAAGTGCTCGGAGGTAAGCATATTCCTTAAAGAATCACACACAAAAAATTAAATAGAAGCATTTTTCCAAATAGATTTGTTTTCTTACTTACATATTAAAAGAAAAAATCAAACAAAAAATAGAATGGGCAACAGGACAACAGTTTTAAAATGCACTTTTATTACAAAACAATGCAAATGATTTGCTAAAAATATGAAAGTCTACGGAGTAAAAGTGAAGTTTTTCTAAGTTCCTCTTTTCAGAATTATCCTTGATAATCATTTGTTTATACCTTCCTAGCTTTTCTTTTTAGATAAAACATTATTGTTTATAGAGGTATCATTAGTGCTTTGCAAATATATTTTCCTTTATTCCTTTATTTTCTGTGCATGTGTAGGGAGTTGCAATATGTTTCTCTGTTTTCCCTTTATGAATCATAGGTTTTCTGCCATGTTTTGAAAGACTTTCCTACTCCCAAGATTTTATGATTTTTTTTTTGTAATTTGTACATCATAGTAGAGCAAAGGATGATAGAATACCTCTTTTTAAATATATATAATAGGCTTTTTACAGACACTGAAATCAACTGGTCCCTGGGAAAAGAATGACATTGTATTTAATAGAGCTGAACATGTTTGCAATCATCAAATACGAGATCAATTAACCAGAAAATTGATAGTACCATAAATTTATACAGAAGCTTCTCAGTGAACCCACTTGCAATTTATGAGCAGTTGGCAAGAAGGACACTTACAAAAATAATCCACACATTTTACTATTAAGTCACATTGAGACTTAGAGATGTAAACTGTGCATGCGTATGCACTCACAAACACAGAAACACACAAAAAGCTTATAGAATTAAAATGGATTCTTATTGTTCTTAGAAAAACTCATATTCAAAACATGCCTATGAGGTTATATGTTTTATTATCATTTGTGCATATAATTTTTTGGCTTTATTATAAGCCAAACTTTCTGATGTCACTTCTCCAATATTTTTATTATCAATTAGCAATCCTATACTTGAGGCCCCTTTCCTGGTTAACAACTTTTAACACCCCCCCTCCATAAATTCAGAGAAGTGCAAAAATTTTTAGACTTCTTGCTCTATCCAAACTTCACATAGTGGCTTTTTCCAATTATGCATTCTCTGAACAAGCTGCTTAGACGTCAGCTAGGTTGGGTGCCTTATTACTTACAAGTATAATAAGCATGACATCTGTTTTTATTGATGAAATTGTTAGATAAAATATCATATTCAGAAATCTGCCACGAGAGGCCGGGTGCGGTGGCTCACGCCTGTAATCCCAGCACTTTGGGAGGCCGAGGCGGGCGGATCACGAGGTCAGGAGATCGAGACCATCCTGGCTAACATGGTGAAACCCCGTCTCTACTAAAAAAAATACAAAACAATTAGCTGGGCATGGTGGCGGGCGCCAGCTACTTGGGAGGCTGAGGCAGGAGAATGGCATGAACCCGGGAGGCAGAGCTTGCAGTGAGCCGAGATCGCACCACTGCATGCCAGCCTGGGTGATAGAGCAAGACTCCGTCTCAAAAAGAAAAAAAAAAGAAATCTACCACAAGATCTTCACATGGATTGATATAAAAATATTAATTTACCCACCTTGTGATGGTAAGTTGAACTATGACACCATCCAACCACATTGAAATTCTGCCAACATTTCTCAATGATGTCTTCAAGGATAGAGTGAGAAGTCATCCGCAGAAATACAGCTATTCTATATATACTGCATTCCCTAGCTTAATCAGTCCAATAACCCCATCAATCTAAGAGGATGAAATTAAACTTGTGATTGCCCTTGTTATTGTAGTCAAAGGTATGGAATCCTACTGTATCAGGAGCATTTATCTAAGAGGAGAATTGAGCCTCCTCGTTATCTGTTGTTTTTTAACCTTAGTTACCAGTTTTTTTGTAATTGCACAAATCAAACAGTCTGTAGAAATCTGGATGTTACTGAAGAGCACAAAGAAAAATAATTCATCATTTCTGTATCTGCAGATAAACTGTATTAGGATTTTATTGAATATCTATCTAAATGTATATTTATGTTTATAGCTATGTTTTCTTTATTTCAAATATAGTCCTACCACTAATTGATAGATTGAAAACAAATGTACAAAAAAAATGCAAAAACCAAGACAAAGCATGACATTAAAAAAACTAAATCCAAATATAGAGACCTTAAAGAATGTATGCATTTAAGCGTCAACAGCAGGTGCTAAAGGAATTTTTTCTTTCTTTGCCACCGCTTTGTTTAGATAAATTACATTCTCATCAGCTATGCACTGGCTCTTGGAAAGTTCAGTATAATATCAGGCCCCAGTGGCTTTTCTCTCAAGATTATCTTTACATGCTGGTAAACTGGTAACCCAGGAAATTACATTTATTAGAAGATAATTAAATCTCTTTCTCTCTCTCCATTCTTAGAAATTAGATATTATATAGGTCAGCAAATCCAACCACAAAATGTATTTTATTTCAATAACTGATATAATTAAGTTTTGAACCATAATCAAGATAAAGCTTTTTAGGCAGTGATAATTGGTCCAGCACTAGTAATGCATTTAACTTGCAAGTAATAAATAAGTCAATTGTATAAAATGGTGCTGAGGGAGATAGTTCTATGAAAATCAGGACCTAGCTTTGATGGCATAAGCTTTCAGAAATGAGTAGTATGATTAAGGGATTGGTTGGAATGGGGTACAAAGCATGTGTACCACACAAGATAAGGTGAGTAAATCCTGGCTATTATGTGAAACTGCTGAGTTGCACATTCTGCTTGCTGGGAGGCATTGAGACATAACCATCCTCATGACTCTGGAGGAATAAACAATTTTGGTGCAATTAAATTCTTATTTCAAAGGAGTTTGTACATAGCATTGATCAAGCACCAAATTCATTCTACAATTGTATTTTGGGACTAGGAATAAAAAATTAGGAAACAGGTAATTGGTTCTTCCTTTTGTAACAATCTGGTGTTACTGATCTAAATGGGTGTTTATCTGGCTTTGTTAGAATTGACAGGATCAAGTGTTTCCTACTACCTCACCATGGACCTAATTACTATAACTCAGGAACTGTATGACACTATATTTCTATGTTCTATGGACATGTACAAATTAAGATATTATTAGACATTTAAGTGGAAGTGTTGAGAAGAAATGCATTTATATAAATCTGGAGTTTGGAAGAAACATCTGAGCTAGAGATATAAACTAGAATGTTATCAACATGTAGCTATATGCACTTATTTAAAGCCATGGAACTGGATAAGATCATCCATGTGGTGAATGTATAAAGAGAAGATGTACAAAGTGTATAAAAGCTGAGTAACAGTGCCTGTCATCTTAACATTAAGAGTTGAGGGAATAGTGGAGGAAACTGCAGAGAAGACCAAGGAATAATAAGCCAGTAGTAGAAGGAAAACCAAGAAAGCACTGTGTTTCAGGGGACCTCTATGCTGATTTCTAGTGCTCCTTCTCTGCACAATATCCCCTGCTACAAACTTCAGTTACACCAGTAGACCCGAACATCAAAGTCGGCTTCCCCAGCTCACTGAGACTGCTGTTTTCTTCTCGAGCTTCACCACCTTATGCTGTGATCTATAAAGTGGCCCCAGGGGAAAAATGGGGACTATCATTGGCCTCAGCTCATACAATTTCTCTCTCTCCAGAATTACAAATATGTGCTGTATACTGGACAAGGTTTGAAAACAATTGTCTCTTATGTGTACTTTAGTTTCATAATCATTTAAGCAGAAGAGCTACTCTGGTAAAAGTAACATCATGGCTAGTAGCAGAAATCTTCACAGTCTAGTATATTTTAAAAGCACAAATAGCTCCGTAAGAGGAGATATTAAAGTAGGTCATGAAAACAGGAAGGAAATAAGCCAAGGCCTTTTATTTAATTTTGTTTTATTTCAATTTTTGGTGGAGTCCTTCCTCTAAGATGCCTACATTCTTTTATCTATATTACAAATTATAATTTATAGATTATACAAATAAAACAAAATGTCACATCAGTAAACTTTGTCCATCTTATTGAATTTTACTTATTATCTTATTCTCAATGAAGGCTAGGTTTTCATGTAATCTTTAAGGGTACATCAAAAGCCAAAGGTATTCATCCAGAGCCAGTCAGAATATAATTTATTTTAAAGAGTTAACTTCAATTCAAAGAGATTAGTAGATGACATTTACCTTCAGTCTAAGGGAAAAAAATTTATGTGTGAAGAAATATTATAAAGGGAGTGTTGAATTGACTTACTATCTACATGTTCTATAGAGAGAATTTTGGAAATTAATTTCTTCTCTTCCACCTCGAGAATGGAAGTTTATTATGGGAAATAACTTGCATAGGGTGTTGGATCTTATTTAGTATTCCTCTAATTATCATTAGAGGAAAATGAACATATTTATGGAGTATCTGCTATGTGCCAACAATTTTATGTACATGGTTTAATTAACGATTTATATTAATTCTATAGTAACTAATTTGCCCAAGACCAAAACTAGTAGTTGGTATAGGTGATGTATAGAACTTCCATTTGAGCCCCAAAATAATGCCTTTCATATCAATTATGCTTCACTGAAAGGATTTAGAAATCAATTTTGTATTTGCTTTTTTAAAAAGTGAATTAAAGGGATGTGGAAGAAAATAAAAATTTGTTTACAGCATTGAGTGTAAATGTCTCTATTAGCTCACTAAGTGCTAATCCCTTTAAGATCCAGGATTGTGTATATTTTTATTAACTTCTAAGTACTTACGGGTGTGCTAGCTAACCCTCAGTTAATATGTATTCATTAACAAAACATATAATTTTCTAAGATTATGCTGGTATCACTATAATTGCTGTTTGAATGTTTTCTAGAAGTACCCATTTGTAGTATGAACAAAGAAGGATAGCTTTGTAAGTAACCCTAATTATATTCCATATTAGCATAACATAAGCTAAGACATAAGCAAAAGCATACTGGTATAAACAATAGGGCCAGTGCTAATTAAACTCTGAATTTATGGAAGATGACACATTTTCATCTCTAAAGTTAATCATTTTTTTAGCACTTGTACAACTGAACCTCATATGGCTGTCCAACACTATCTGAACTAGTATAAGCCACATGTGTCCTGATATACAAAAAAGAGGAATTGTTAAAATATGTTAGGAAATGTCTTTGCAATAGAACTTTATTTCACACACATTTTCTTGGGAATCATTTACTTGAGAAAGTATTGAGGATCGGCCAAAAGCTTCTGTTTATGTAAGTTGTATCTACTGATATTACCTCATTTGAAATTAAAACTGAAATTTTTATTATACTTATGAATGGATTTATCTTGAAATATCTGTATTAAGACACTAAAACATAAATTATAAAATTATATTTGTTGAAATACAATGTATGAAAAATAAATACATTTTAATAAAAAGTAACTATTTTGAAAAGTAAAAGTTTAGTTAGAAGAGTGACTTTTTAAATGTGTCTTTTCAAATGTTGTTAATATCTGACTTATGAGAAGACAGCCGGATAATCATATCGGCTTTTGTATTTAATACATTGCAACATGTTGTTTTAGTATATAAAGAAAATCCAGCCTCACTGAGATAAATAGTTGAAAATAGAAAAGTATTTTTAAATGTCTCAGATAATTGTGAATATCATTTTTGATGCTATACCCAAACTTGGCAAGTGGTAGTCCTTAAAAGTCACAATCTTGAATCTGAAATCATGTTAATGAACTTATACTTTGCTATATAAAAATCTATTGGTTCTTTTGTAGTCTGAATAAATATTTTACCTGAGAATGGTTTGGATCATTTGAAAAACGTTGGTATACTTAATTATACAGACAATCCAAATGTTGATGCATTTCATTATACCACATTTGTTAATATCACCATTTGATCTCATAAGAAAATATTCTAAGTATTTTTATGTTGAATTTTAAAATGTTGCCTTAATTTTAAAAAGATATTTTGACTAATTAGAATATCCCAAAGACAGAATTCATTTTGACAGATTCAAATTTTTCAAAATCCTAATTTTTGCTTGAAATTTTGAATTTTATCTTTGCCACCAATACTTGTTTTTCTGGAAATGACAAGCTCCTTTTGTTCATTTAAAAAAAAAAAGGCAATCAAATACCCAACTTTTGTAGGGGTGGGTTGCCCCTCCACACCTGTGGGTGTTTCTCGTAAGGTGGGACGAGAGATTTGGAAAAGAAAAAGACACAGAGACAAAGTATAGAGAAAGAAATAAGGGGACCCGGGGAACCAGCGTTCAGCATATGGAGGATCCCGCCAGCCTCTGAGTTCCCTTAGTATTTATTGATCATTTGTGGGTGTTTCTCGAAGAGGGGGATGTGTCAGGGTCACAAGACAATTGTGGGGAGAGGGTCAGCAGACAAACACGTGAACAAAGGTCTTTGCATCATAGACAATGTAAAGGATTAAGTGCTGTGCTTTTAGATATGCATACACATAAACATCTCAATGCTTTACAAAGCAGTATTGCTGCCCGCAGGTCCCACCTCCAGCCCTAAGGCGGTTTTTCCCTATCTCAGTAGATGGAGCATACAATCGGGTTTTATACCGAGACATTCCATTGCCCAGGGGCAGGCAGGAGACAGATGTTTTCCTCTTGTCTCAACTGCAAGAGGCATTCCTTCCTCTTTTACTAATCCTCCTCAGCACAGACCCTTTACGGGTGTCGGGCTGGGGGACGGTCAGGTCTTTCCCTTCCCACGAGGCCATATTTCAGACTATCACATGGGGAGAAACCTTGGACAATACCTGGCTTTCCTAGGCAGAGGTCCCTGCGGCCTTCCGCAGTTTTTGTGTCCCTGGGTACTTGAGATTAGGGAGTGGTGATGACTCTTAAGGAGCATGCTGCCTTCAAGCACCTGTTTAACAAAGCACATCTTGTACCGCCCTTAATCCATTCAACTCTGAGTTGACACAGCACATGTTTCAGAGAGCACGGGGTTGGGGGTAAGGTTATAGATTAACAGAATCTCAAGGCAGAAGAATTTTTCTTAGTACAGAACAAAATGGAGTCTCCTATGTCTACTTCTTTCTACACAGACACAGTAACAATCTGATCTCTCTTACTTTTCCCCACAAACTTTGAATAACCATATTTTTCTGTTAGTCAGTCATTCTTTTATGTAAAAATAATGTTCCAGGAAAAAAGGGGTGAGTTCTCATCTTCATTTAAACTATCAGTGTACAAATTCTTTTCCTTACAACAATTATAATATCTGAGAAAGTAAAAGTTCTTGCTTCATGCATATTCCTCATTTTGTCACACCATGGACTGTGCACCATCAGTACAAATATCAACAGAGAGAAAAGGCTAAATAATGTCTTAGTATTATTAGGAAAATAGTTTCCACTGAAAGGACTCCTTGCAAGAGTCTTAGGGATGCACAAAGATTTGTGGGCCATACCTTGTGAACTGCTGTGTTAGGTGATGCACCACGACCTTCACGGGCTTTCTTGCATGTCACGTCTACAGGAAATCTATAAGGTAGAAATTATAATTTTTTTGCATTTTACACATTTTCTTTTATTTTATAGATAAGAGTACTATACTGTATTTAGAAATATTCAGTAACTTACTCACTCTGCTAACAAGGCTCTCCCAGGATTAGACATGAATTTTACTGTATAAGCTATGGTTTTGTTTTCAGATAATCAATAATTAAGTCAAACATTTTACTATTGATTCTTTTCTGTGCATGGTGTTTATACATTTTTTAAGAGTTTACTACCCTGGTGCTTATATTTTACAAACTCAATTTTCCTGTATTACACAATACTCTCAGTTTAGTCTCTCTTTCCACCCATACCACTTGCCTAATTCCATGCGAAAATTTTCTCTTTCAATGCATCACTCCACCAACCTGGACATTTTTATTTCTGTTGCCATTGAGGTCTTGAAGACGTAATAGACCGAAAAAAAGGGCTTTATGATTTCCTTCTTTATATTCTAAAATTTACATAATTTTTTACATCACCAGCACTTGTCAACATTTTGTTTCCAGAAATGTGTGTTACTTATTAGTAAATATCACATAATTTGTGTATATTATAAAGAAATATTAATGATTTTCTATATAAGACAAAGCATTTGTACAAATTATAGCTCAGTTTGGACAAGATAATAGTTGCCCAAGTGACCACTTAGCTCTTGGGCAAATGACAGTGAAGAACACAGGATAGCAGTAGAAATGCCTGTGGCCACAAAAGGCTGAGTGACCCTACATGATGTTGTTTTGGTGATTCCAGATAGAGATTATTATCCTAATAGTTTTATAGTTGAATATGAACATGCACATGCATGCTCAGAACATTTCAGGGTCCATTATAATCACATTTCTGACAGTAAAGCATGATGTTTTTTGCCCCGCTGACCTCACAGGTGGATATAATAGCCAATCAGCCTGTGTTTGCACTGTTACTGTTATTAAATAAAACTTCTTATTAAATACAAAATACTGCCTAAAAATTATCTGGCTTGCGGTTTCTTTGTTTTTCTAAATGAAGGTTAAAAATGCTTACCTGATAGACTAATTATGATAATTAAATAACCTAGTGAATGTAACTTGATAATTATAGTGCCGAAGATATCATAACCAATCAAAAAAGTTTAAACTAAAAATACTGCTTTTGCTTTAACTGTTTGGAATTTAGTGATCATATTGAGGTTTTATAAATTATATTTATGACATAACTGTCCTCAAATACATTATGGTCTGTATCTGGATGTATAACTATTAGGTAGATATTTCAAAAAGGAAAATTTTGCCTTAATTTTAAAAAGACCTTTTGACTAATTAGAATATCCCAAACACAATTCTCCAAAGTGCTCGAGCAGAGCTTAGATGATCCTTTGTCTGGTAACTGTTAAAAAAACATTCAGAGTCATTAAGTAGTTATAGTTCCTTTTCAATTATATATTGTTTCTTTCCAAATCTAAGGTTCTATGACATTATATTTAATATTCACATGTGCGAATTTAAGATTAATTTAAATTATGTAATATAATTATATTCTCTATCCCATTACTATGAATTTGGGGTAAATGTCACCAATGTTAAGGTTGGAAATCAGCACATTTGAAGAACAAGATATTTCCTACATCATATACGAGACAATCTAGACTAAAAATATTTGGATATAAAAGACATTATGTATATACTTTTGTATTACATTACATAATTTACTATAGTACATTTTGAATAAGTGAAAAGTTGTCATTCTTAATTAAAACATGGTTTTATTTTCCCATTAACACAATGTTTAAAGAAAGCGAAGTCTTTAATGGGTGAGTAAAAAGCACTTTTATATTTTCATGACTTTAAGGCAAATACCTTTCCATAAAATGAAGACTCAGTAAAAATAGAAGCTACAAGAGTACCCCTTCTGAATGACTATCATTCCAGATAACAAAGTTATCACTGTACAACCACTGCCATTTGGGGATAGCTACATTTTAAAAGTCACACTTTTAACAAAAGAATACTCTGTTTTCTTTTACTAGTGCCAATGAATTAATGGAAATAAAATCTCATCATGACTCCCTCCACTGTTTGGAAGGTTGTGCAGGACCATCTACTGATAAAAGAGACACAATCCTGCCCGAGATGTTCAGGGTTTCAATTCACATCCATTTGCCTTTTGGTATCAGCTAAATTATTTTCGAGCAGGCCCCTGGGAATCTCGTTCTCTCATCATTCCGTGTCTATTCTTCCAAATCTGTCTGCTCCCTCTCTGATGGCCTCTTTCTGAATCCAGCTCTGAGACCATTATTCCAGTCCCCTTGAGGACAAGTCAGTGAAATCACATTTCTGATTTTTGTCCTCAGAGGCAAATAAGGACCTTTACATTCTTCAGAAAGGAGCAATGTATATAATATGTTATTGCATACATGGACCATCTGGCAAACTTGCTATCAGTTAGAGTTGAAAACTGTATCATCTACACCAGCAGTAAATATGTAATAAACAAGCTAAATGTGGATAAAGTCCACCCCATCACACAGGTGCCTTCAGCCCACAGGTCAATGCCAGTCTCTGTGACTGCCTTGCTTTGTGAACTTGGACAAACAGTCCAATCTGCTCTGGTACTTTTTACTTAACCTGTGTAAAGTCAACATTTCTTTTCTCCACATAGGTAGGTCATAAAAATAGCAAAATGATTTTTAAAATATTATTTTGAACTTCCCGAAATAAGTGAATTATTTTAATTGAATATACTAATAAATACATGTATCCATCCCTGTGTATAAAAGTTAATCCCTGGTTAAGTACAGCATTAGTTACATTCATGGTCATCATTAATATATTATTATTTGTAAAGTATATTTACGTACAAGTGACCGGAAACATGAATCACATTATGATTAACAATGGACTTATCCAAATATCATTATTTATAATAATTAATAATGACTGAGCTCATACTGCACACCAGACAGTGTTCCAGGGGCTTTACTTATATTCACTCATGTACACAAACAATAAAACTCAGAGAAAAGTTCCGTTAATACCATTCCTGTTTTACAGATGATAAAATTGATTCATGAGTAGGAAAAGTCATTTTTTCAAAGTCACACGGTTGGCAAATTTGAACTAGATAATTTGGCTCCATAGATTCAACTTATTACCACCATGATACACACTCTCTCTAAAAACAAAGGGAAAATTGTAGGAGTAGTGCAGAAGGGATCCATCCTAGAATCAGAGTTGCTAGGCAGAGAGGAGGGTATAAAGTTCAATGTGATTCACTTTTATTTCAAAGCATGAATCAAATGACTCAATATTGCCATTAAATTCATTCAGTCCCTTGGGTATAATGTGTTTCAAAGTCTCCACAGAATAATAGCACTGTCAGCCACTTTAAAAAGTCATAAAATAAAATTCCAGTTTATTAACAAGGAAGATGAGATGCAGAGAAACGAAGAGCCTTGATCAAAGTCACAGTGTCACTGAAGAGCTTAATTGACCTGCCACACGCCCACTCCCAAAAGTCTCCTGATTCTAGCCCCCTACTTCTTTTACTTACCTCACTCGTTGATGTTCTGTAGAATCTTTGGTCATAATCAGGAGGAGTGGTTCCTCCCACAGAATCACAAGATAGTAGTTATTTATTGGTTTAGGATCAGGAACAATATTTTAACCTTAAAATACTTTCCAGTCTTACTTCATCTTGTACCATCATTCTTCTAACCAAAATAGTTTAGCCTAACTACACACAGCTTAGGAAGGTCTTTAAAGCAGTATTATGCCCCTTTCTCTACTCTCATCACAGACTCCTGACACTCATCCCTTGATCTTTTATGACTCTGATCTGAGGGCTATGACAGCTGAATTGCTGCAAATCCTAGTGAGTGATACCACCAATATTGCTCATTCCATTTGATACTTCAAGAAATATTGTTTAACCAAAATAAAAAGAATAAAACAATTTAAAAAAGCAAAATATGTGAATTAAAATATCTTAAATAAATTGATTGTTGAGAAAAATTATTCAGTAAAGCAACCGCCAGAAAATCAGCCAAAAAGTATATTTAAAGCAATCAGAGACTACCACTTCATTTTGCCATATGTTGAGTAGGTTTTTTAAAACTTCCAATTTTAAAAAAATGCACTGAAAGTCTTAAATAGTATTTAGAGCGAGAAAAGAATATGTGTGGTGTTATACATTTTGTTGTTAAGTGTGAGGTTGAAAATAATATTCTCAACTACTGAACTGATAGCACTTTATTTACAGTGCACTGTATTTACCCTAGCAGGCTACAGCCATAATCTTTTGCTACTGACATCCTGGAAGAAAAAAATTTCAGTGCCAGGAAGAAGTAATGATGAAAGTACATCCATGTGGTTATATTTTTCAAGTTTGTGCAAATATTTCTTTAACAAGAATTCAAAAGCACATCACTAGAAATGTAAAATAGATATACTGAATATGCTTTTTGTGGAACCTAAATTATGTTTTTAACCTTATGTCTACAATGTTTTGATTTTTAACCTTGGACAAATTTTACTAAACTTTTGGGGCCTTAAATTATCCACCCATTCAAACAAGTTTCAAATTCCTTTCTCTCTTGCAAACTAGGGTTTTTTTTATTATTTTCACAAAGATTCAATGTGGTTGGAAACTACGACTTAGTTGTCATTTTATGTGCATGAGGAACTTTTAAATTAGAAGAAATAAGACTACCATAATGAAGGAAAAGCAGTACCCTCTACTTATTTATATTTTCTAGTTTTTAATGTTCATCTATAGGATGGATGGATGGATTTTTTTATTATAAAATATTACCAACAACTTTGGGTTATTTCATTTCACTGTTTTTACAAGAGCCTATGCAGAACATGGGCACTAAATATACAAGGGTAAAGTACAAATGAGGATCTGAGTTGGATCAGGAATTAATCCTATTTTAATACTTAGCAATTAAAAATCTGATGGAACACTTGAAATTTTGCTTTTAATATTGGGTTCTATAATTTTAAAAAGACTTTCTTGAAAGGAAAATACAGATAGTTAATTTAAAAGAAAAGAAGCAGCAAAAGTGACCAATAACATATGAAACATATGAAAAGATCTGTCCTATTAGTAAAGAAACTTAAATACAAACAATAAACATACTGAGTATCTTTACTGTTGTTGGAGGTATGGGGAAACTGGAACTCTTACACTTCACAGAAGTATCATTTGCTAAATGTGAATAAATTAACTAGATATTGCAGTTTATAACCTATCCCTGGATTTAGCAGCATAAAACAACAAGCATTTATAGGCTCACAATCCTGCAGGCACCTTGGGATGTTCTGCTAATCTGTGCTGGTATGCTCACATATTTAGAGCCTGAGCTGGGACAACTATTCTGAATTAGCTAGATCCACATGGCTTGCTTACTTGCTGGAGGCAGGGTCCCATGGCAGTAATCAAAAGTATGCAAGGCTTTTTGAGGCTTAAGCTCAGAAGTAGCACAGTGTCAATTCCAGGGCATTCTATTAGGCAAAGCAATTTGCAAAAACAACACCAGATTCAAAAACTAAGAGAACGGAATCCATTTACTTATGGGAGAAGTGAAAAACTGTTGCCATTTCAACAGTAAGCTATAGGTAATTTAATCTATACGTATCAGCCTAAAAATTCACCATACTCTTATACCCATGAATTCCGTATCTGTTAAGTAAATATACTTTATGTGTGCAAGATATTTGTAGAAAGCTATTTATAGCAGCATTGATTATGTTAGCAAACATTGGAAATTTTTCATCAATAAGATTTTATTGTAATAAATTGTTACATTCTTTAATGAAAATTACTACAGGCCTTAAAGTGATATTTAAAATGATATGTGTGCTTATACACATATTTATATAGATAGCAAACACTATAAATACATTTTAAAGGACAAGAAACTAATTCCAAAAATTAACAGTGACTTCCCATGGATGATGAGGTTATAATGGATTTCACTTTTAAAACTTATTTCCTAAATTTCTTTTATAAATAATTCATGCACCTATCCATTAATTTACATTTTTCCCCTTTGGTTTCCATAACAAAGTAGACTCTATACCTGTGATCTTAAATCTTATGTTCTAGCTTTGAAAACAGACATTAAATAAATATTTTAAAAAATAATTACATGAATAGAATTCTTATATGTCCTAGAAATGAAAGGTAGAGTCAGCAAAGAGAATGTGTCCCAATGAGATCTAAGCTAATTTGGTGAATCGCTGGTGTCATTTTCTGGAAGAGTATCAGAGAAGGTGTCTCTACAACAGTGTCATTTTAGCTGCCTTCAAAAGACAGCATAGGAATGACTTAGATGTAGAAGCACAGGCCATTCCAGACAGAGGTAATAGACAGAATATGAGAAGGCCCAGAGGTAAGAAGAAAGAAAAACTGAAAGGTTAATGTTAGCTGTAGGATATTGATTATTTACTTATTTTATCAAAAAGATCACGCATGCATATGGAAGAAAAAGAAAACTACAAATGTGGCACAAGGAAATGTAACTTTTCCTATTACACTAGATTTACTGAGAGCTACAATCCAATTACTGGAATCTAGCTAACTCAGAGTCTGAAAGATCTCAGGGTCTCATTTGTGCAGGCTTGGAAACAAGTCTATTTCTCATTTCAGAACATGAGACCAACTGATCCCATCTAGAGCACTCAGTTCTGGCCATCAAATATGTACAGCCTGATCACCTGTCCTCTCATTTTTCTCTGCAAACTACGAGTCATTTCTCCCCACTCATCTTCTCTAGCTGGTGTCCTTTTTGATCCCTTCCCTTGTGCATTCTGGACTCTTATCTTGCCACCAAGAAGCATCTTTAAGCTTCTTATTCAATGGGTATTTTATCTCTGAATCTAGACTAAAAGCTATTCTGTCCCAGGGACATCATTTACAACCATCTTATTTCTAGGGCAGGAGAAAGGTAGCAGTATTTTCTTTGATTTTCATCACTTTTTCTAGACCTCTGGCAGCATCAATTTATACCCCTCCTCAACTTCATCAATTTACACATCTTTCCATTCTTCTCCATATTCATAAAGGGCTTTGTAGGAGGGTTCAAGTCTTTATCCATCCCTCTCATCATATTCTTGGGAGATTTCAATGCCTGTGGGGTTGATCCAATAGATCTCAATAACATTATTTTTAAAAATTTCTTAAGCCAATGACCTTCATTCTTATTCCATTTCAGCCTCCACTCTGTGTCCATATATCAGATTTTTGTGATTATATGGTACTGTTCCTCCTCCGAAGCTCTAAACTTCAAACATCAGCCATCTGTCTTTCTAGTTTCTCTTTCATTCTCCTACACTGCACAACTTTTTCCACTGTGCTGAGATTGCCGTCCCATGACACCTCCATTTTCACCCAATTCCTCTGGATATCTCCCTCTTTTCTCACTTGAACCCTGTTGTTGGCAACTTCAGCTATTATCTCTCCTCCACTCTCAGCTTCTTGCATCTTGTCCTATTTCATTCACTCTGCAGAACTTCAGGTCAATATTAAAATATTTTCTATTTAAACAATTATGGAGGGAAATATGAAAGCAAATAAATTGGTACCACAGTAGGTCAATGGATTTCAATTCACCTAGGTCCTGAAAATGCCACTTGATAATCCTTTAGCTTGCCTTTTTCACTTCTCCTGCTCCATGTCCTTCTCTGCCTCCCAACCTCCCATCCCAGTCACACTCACTTCATATTTTCTAGCCCAATCCATTTCAAAAGATGACTTCACGTCTTTTGCGAATGATTAGAAAATCATGACATCTTTAGTCCTGTAAGAACCGACTTTCTCATTGTCCAAGAATTTTTCCTACACTTGTATTTTGGTCCTTCCCAGTGATCTGTGACCCATCAAATGGTATTGCTTTCCACTCTTACAGGGAACTCAGAGGTAGCAGTTGTTTTGCCCTTTCAGTCAAATAGTCTGTCAGTTTTTGTAGATGCAGAGTTTGTGGTGTTTATCCTTGTATAACTTCTGTTTCTCTCTGATTTTACTTTTCATGCTTTTTTAAAAGCATAAAATGTTTCTAATGGTATATTTTGAAATGTTTTTAAAGTACAGAAAAAAATACAATGGACACTCATGTACCTGTTACCCAGATTTAACAATTTAAATAAATGTTCATATTTTCATTAAGAAATAAAATATAACAAATAGTCCTTAATATGTTGGATATAAATATACATACTTATATAAAAATTAGCCTAGGAAACTAGCACATTATCCACTGGATAGTAGATAACATTCTGCATGTTTTTATAAATTTAGTTCATAATACACATACTTAATACATACTGTTGTTGGAGCATTAATTCGTTTCAAATAGAATGAACAATCCTTTTGCTTAGAATGCACTATTCAAAGTGCTTTTTGTTTTAAAGGTTTCTGACTTTCTTAAACAAGGGTGTATTTCTGACATATGTTTGGTATAGCTAAACTTCAGATTTATATTGCCACCAGAGAAATACAGAACATCTGGCATTTTTGAAAGTGATCCTTTCTTGATTTATTTAAGTATAATAAATGTATTTACATGACGTTGGTTCTGCATTTTATACTAATAGACTCTAAGTCTAATGAATCTGAGAGTAAGTTAAATATCTGTTCACTCCCCAGCTTCACTGAAATGACTCTCATCTATTCTTTTCCTTCTAGCTATTCTTCTAATGCATTGCCTAATTGCCTAAGATATAAAGAAGCATTTTGCCTAAATGAAGCAGCATCAGTAAAACAAATGATGCTAGACTTTGACTATGATAGTCATTCTAGTGCTTAATCATTCATCCAGAGAAAATTATCTCTAAAGGGCCCTGTTCCCTCTCCTATCTGTCTCTAAAAACACCCACCTACATATTCTGGAAACATTTTATTTTATTTGAATTTTAGTGAAAATAGACTTATGTATGAGAAGTTTACCAAGTTTAAAGTCATGTGGCAGATTTCTTTTTTAAGTATTAAAATGCTACCTGGGCTTCATTCCCTAAATTCTTCTCTCAACAATATTTGAAAAATAGTTGTGCATGAGTAATAGAATTAGTATCACCTGCTTTGTTTAATGTAACACTATTTTTAAAATATTTCAGCATTCTAAACATAAAAAAACGGAACATTGCAAATCGTGTTTAACTACAGAAGGTTCTTAAACTTTCATTGATACAGTGGCAATTCGGTTTGCTGACAATGCATTAGAAGGGAATGCATTCGAAGAATAGCTAGAAGGAAAAAAAGTTCGACAGTTATTTTTTAAAAGCAGTTTAGAAACTACCACACTTAACTAAAAACAAACAAAAAAACCTACAAATACTTCTCATCTCACTGACCCCCTTTGTCCACAGCTAAGAATAGCAGCAGAATGCTATGTCACTATACATAGAAAGGAGACAACCTGAACCTAAATGGATGCCCACTGCAGAGACAACAGGTCCAACCTGATGGTGCACACCCTGAGCTACAGCTCCTTCAAAAGTTATCTTCCCTCACAGCCTCAACACCAGGCAAGGAGCATTAAGAGTTTGTCTCTGTTGTTTTGTTCTTCCAAACTACAGATATATACAGTTGAGAACTCAGAATTTCTAGCCAATAACCACATAGTTAACACCACCTTAAAAATTAAAATGCCAGAAACATCTTTAAATGCTTTGTCCCACCAGCAGCAAAGTGCACAGAGTATGAGGCATACAAGAGTGCCTTTCCATTTAAAAAATTTTTGGAAATACTTACAACTTTGATACAGTTTCAGGATGCTACAGACACTCATGGCCACTTCATGTGAACCACTGATAATTTCCAGAGCACTTTGAGAGACTGCACTATGATGGTAATCAATTTTTTTTCTTTTACCATACAACCCAGGAATCCCACTCCTATGTATTTGTTCAAAAGAAGTGTAAATGTGTATCTACACAAAACCTGTATGCTGATGTTTGTAGCAACTTATACAGAATTGCCACAAACTGGAAACCTCTCAAATCCTTTTAAAATTTTTTTAAATTTTTTTTTTTTAATTATACTTTAAGCTCTGGGGTACATGAGCAGAACGTGCAGGTTTGTTACCTAGGTACACTTGTCCCATGGTGGTTTGCTGGACCCATCGACCCATCATCTACATTAGGTATTTCTCCTAATACTATCCCTCCCCCAGACCCCCACCCCGACAGGCCCCGGTGTGTGATGTTCCCCTCCCATGGTAATCAAATTTTATAATTAAACCTAGTGAGGGTAACAGACACTTCTCAAATAAGGGATGTGTTGGTAACAGTGCTCCCTTACTCTAAGGTATTCACAAGGAGAGTTTTTTTTTTTTTAATTCATCCTTCTTCTCTTCTTCATCTGACTCTTCCAACGTTTTCTAAACGTTGGAAGTTTCCAACTTTAGCGGGACTGTCCCTCTGTAGCATCAAACTTTCCTTTAGACTTATAGTCAGCAACATCCTTCTTATACTTCAGCTTCACTGCCTTAGTGATGTCAGGCTGCTTTTCACGGTCACCTAAGTTATTCTGCATCTCACCCAACTTTTTTGTTTGTTTGTTTTGCCACATCTCCAGTGGAGGTGTCAAGGTTTCTGGATTTGATCTTGGGGCAGAATTCTGAACAGAACAGGAAAACTTCAGACAGTGGCCTTTTGGGGGCATCAGGGTCCTTCTTCTTGCCTCCCTTAGCTGGTCTGTAATCCTTCATTTCCCTATCATTGCATTCTTTATCCACATTTGCCATGTTATAATTTCAACTTTTCTTCCCCAGACATTGTCTTCGACTTCTCAGAGCACTTCTTGGAAAACTGCAAAATTGACAGAGATCTGAGTTTTTCTTATGTTCTCTGCACGTTTGCACAAAGAAGACATAAGCAGACATCTTGCCCTTGGGTTTCTTGGGGTCACCTTAGCCATGCTGACTGTATTGTCTGCTAGTCTCTATTAAAAAAAAAAAAAAGATAGGGTCTCACTCTGTCGCCTAGGCTGAAACGCAGTGGTGCAATCATAGCTCACTGCAGCCTCAAATTCCCAGGCTTAAGCAATCCTCCTGCCTCAGTCTCCTAATAACTGGGACTACAGGCACACACCCCCACCCCTGGCTAATTTTTTTATCTTTTATTTTTTGTGGAGATGGGTCTCGCTATATTGCCCAAGGTGGTCTCAAACTCCTGGGCTCAAGGAATCCTCTCACCTTGATATCTCAACATGCCAGTATTATATGTGTGAGCTACCGCACCGAGCCACAGCACCTTCTTTTGCATGGAACAGAAAAAATATATATCCACTAGCTTCCAGGAGGATAAACAGTAACTCCTGCTGGATTTCACTGGACATTTTATAGCCAGGGCATCACAGGATGAAAACAATATAAACAGGTGGGTCCACACTTTCCCCAGATCAGTTTCCTTTCAGTTATCACTCATTAGCTATTTAATAGAAAATTCAGCTTTCTGATTCTATCCTTGTGTTACTGTATCCATCAGGGTCTTGGGAGAAAATGCAAGTAACTAAGGTGAGGTTTTGAAGATAATTTAATGAGAAGACTAGTTACAAAAGTGTTGAGAAAAGAAAGCAATAAGAAATATTGAAGAATACTGGGACAAGTAAAAGTGGAAGGGAGTGAAGGAGCTGTGGAAATCACGTTCCAGCCTCAGACTCCCTGAACAGGACAAGTCTGCGGGATAATTTGGGGGCCTACTGCATCCGCATAGATTATGTGCAACTTGTTGGCATTTTGAAGAAAATATGAAAATAACCAATAAGTTAGAAGAAGAGAAGTAATCTCTGGCCCAAAAACAGAGGATCCTCATATTAGAAGTTACGACTCCATACCATACAGGGAATGTCAGTCCAAAAACACAGAAAATCCAGAGACTACAGCAAAGACCAGCCAAGCTGTCTTCCTTCATATTATATATTTCACAAGATGTGCTGGTCTGTAAAAATACCCTCCCTCTATTGCAGGCAGCAAGACAACTCTTCGTTCCTATTGATTATGCTGCCATTAGGATAGAATGTAAGATGCCTTTAAAATTCTTATGCTTATATATTGTTCTGACCAATTTCTTTCTCTCTAAGATAAACATAAGTTCTTGAATAGAAGAAAATCAATAAAAATGTCCTAGACATTCATCATAAAAGAATGATAGAGTAGAAACTTGATGAGAGCTACAGCCATAGAAGTTCCTGGAAGGAGCTATAATATTAGAGAGAGAAATAGACCAGAATCAATGTGCCCAGGTTTAGAGGGAGGTAGAAGAAAAATTAACTCATCCTCTGTCCTTCTTGTTCTGCTCTTCCATTGGCCACACTCAAGTGGAAGTCAGAGTCCAAACAGTCCTGGTGATGCTTCTGTAGGATAAGCCTCAAGGCACAGAAGCAGGTCAGAGAACTTATGGGCAAAGGAGAGGCAGATGCAAAATAACCAAATAAGTTACTAAAACTGTTCCCATTTTGTAAACGAAGTTGAATTGTAAAGTCAAGGGTAATGCCAACTTAAAGAAATCCAGGAGTGAATCCTCATTTTAGGTAAATTCTTATTTACCTTATTTTAAGAATATTTATATGAATACATAAAGTATTTGCTCTTGTAAACATCACATAAAGAAAAGATAATCCTTTTCAGAAAAATATTTTTTTTATTTCAGAAAAAGACTTTTGAGAAACACTGGCTTTAATTTCGTCATCTGAAAATAATTTAATGTTAAGTGCCCCCTACATGTCACTATAGAGACACAGTTCTGATTTCATAATATTACATTATCTTTATGTTAGCTATATCTTCTAATTCAGGATACCGCATAGATTTTTAAAGTTTTATGCAATGTTTAAAGCCATATGTAATACTATGTAACTGTGCAGCTAAGTTAGACCTTTATTTATTTTTGCCCTGTGGCTCTAATTATTGAGGTATAAATTTACATATAGTAAAGTATAAAATATTAAGCACTGTAAAATTATATGTACATATGCATACATATATACAACTACCAGATAAAAATGTAGACCATAAGGCAGGATTTTACATAAGAATCTATCAGCCCTGTTTATAATGGAATCATGAAAATGAGGTGTTCATTTGGGGCTCAGAAAAACGTCTCTCGGGCCTACTTTTCCTTTTCCTGTTTATTTGCTAGAGTCAACCTAACATGCTCTACTTAGACATAATTCTCAGTATCTGGCTCACATCCCAACAATATAAACTGGCACGGTTGTACTGAAAGACAAAGAGGAATCAACATTTGGCAAACATAATGATAAAAACTGATTCAGGGCAAAAATATCAACAGATGTTATAAAGTAAAAGTACAATGAGGAATAGAATAGTTATCTGGTCTCAAAATATTAATTATATATTTATTAATTACAAAATAAAATAACTTTACAATGCAGAAACCCCAATTGATCAGAGATAACATCAATAATTCTTCTGGATTCGATAAACCAAGAGCACAGTGCTTCTGTGGGTATTCCCATCAATACTGACTAACAGGAATTCAATAATGAGGAAACATCAGACAAACCTAAATTAACAGTCATTTTACAAAAGATTAAGCCAGTACTCCCCAAATATGTAAATACCATTAAAGACACAGAAATACTGAAGAGCTGTTCCGGAATAAAAGGACTAAAGAGACAGGATACCTGAATGCAATGCATGATTTGGAAACTTCCTTCAGTGTAAAGGATAATATTGGGACAACTGAAAAACTCTGAATATGTATCAGTGAATTTCCCAGTTTTAATTTTTTTTTTTTTTTTTTGATAGTTTTGCTCTTGTTGTCCAGGCTAGAGTGCAATGGCGCGATCTTGGTTCGCTGCAACCTCTGCCTCCTAGGTTCAAGCGATTTTCCTGCCTCAGCCTCCTGAGTAGCTGTGATTATAGGCATGGGCCACCACACCCAGCTGATTTTTTTTTTTTTTTTTTAGTAGAAACGGGGTTTCTTCATGTTGGTCAGGCTGGTCTTGAACTGCGTACCTCAGGTGATCCATCCACCTTGGCCTCCCAAAGTGCAGCAATTACAGGCGTGAGCCACCGTGCCCGGTCCGTTTTAATTATTATAGTGTGGTTATGTAAGGGAACATTCTTGTCTTTTGGAAGTACACACTGAACTGTACCACATAGAGACATGAACTATTCCACATAAAGTGATGTGAATTGTATAACACAGAGATATAAAGATAGAAACAGAGATAGTGACAGAGAAAATCATAACATTTAGAGAAATTTAATGAAAGGAGTTTGGGAATTCTTTGTACTAATCTTGAAAATTTTCTGAAATTATATCAAATAAAAAGTTAAACAGAGGGGCAAAAAACGGAGGAGACTAAACTAGGCAAAGGAGCCCTATGACAAGACAAAAAAAACTAGTCCCGGTCCTAAAACAAATCAAAGAAGAGGTGATAATTTTTTTGGTGAGAAGTTAGAGATGTCCATTCTTCCTATCACAAGGCAGAAATAAATCCTTCTGTTTTAGGAAAAACAACAAAACAGATAAACCTCAAAATAGAGTAATTTTGAGGAAAGCAAACTCCAGGCACAAGCATTTTCACTGATACATAGTATGCCATACTCCATGGCACACAGGCTGTAAAACAGTTTCCCCCAAAGGGACCAGGGTTGTTGCTATAATGGGTGTTCTCTTTGAACAGTGAGGACTGCTTGGCTGCTGATCACACAGCACCCTCAGTACCTTAGCGCTGCACTAAACTCTGGTAGGGGGATCTTCAAGAAAGGCTGATGTTAACATTTCCAGCAGCCTGGAAAAATGGGAACTCTGAGTCAGATTTGGGTTGTTTTAATGAAAATAGAGAGTTCTAATTTCTCCACATCCTTGCTAACACTTGCCCTTTGTGTATGTGATAACAGCCATTCTAACAGGTGCAAGGTGCTATCTCATTGTGGTTTTGAATTGCATTTCCCTAATGATTAGTGACATTGAGCATCTTTGTATATACCTGTTGGCCATTTATAATGTCTTCTTTAGAGAAATGTATATTTAAATCCCTAGTTCATTTTTTAATCAGGTTATTGCATTTTTGGACATTGGTTAGTAGGAGTTCCTTATATATTTTTGAAACTAACTTATCAGATATACGGTTTGCCAAATTTTTGTCCCATTCTGTGAACTGCCTTTTCACCCTATTGATTGTTTCTTTTGCCACATGTTGGCAAGGATGTGGAGAAACTGAAACCCCTGTACAGTGTTTGTGGGAATGCAAAATGGTAAAGCTGTTATGGAAAACACTACAGAGGCTCCTCAAAAAAAAAAAAAAATAGAATGACCATATGATCTAGCCATCCAATTTCTGAGTCTATATACAAAATAACTGAAATCAGGATCTCAAAGGAATAAATACACCCCCATGTTCATTGTAGAATTAGAATTATTAACAATAACCAAGATGTGAAAACAACATAAATGTTCATCAACAGATTAATGGATAAAGAATACATGGTATGTACATACAATTGAGTATTATTCAGCCTTAAAAAAGAAACACATTCTACAATATGCAATATCATGAATGAATCTGGAGGACATTATGCTAAGTGAAATAAGCTAGATACGGAAGAACAAATACTGCATGATTCCACTATATGAGGTATCTAAAATAGTCAAACTCATAGAAGCAGAAAGTAGAAAGGTTGGATACCAAGGGCTGGAGGAAGAAGAACATGAGGAGTTGCTAATCAACTATATAAAGTTTCAGTTATAAAAGATAAATAAGTAATGGAAACCCACTCTACAACATTGTGCCTATAGTTAACGATATATTGTACACTTAAAAATCTGGTAAAAGGGTAGATTTCATGTTAAGTGTTCTCACCGCAATAAAAAGACCCCATGAGCACCTAAAGAAAATAAAAACAGAGAAATGTGGCAAATATTAGACTGATATTCTGTGAATTAAAAATGCTCTCCACTTCTTTATGACTCTTCCATAAGGAGGGGAGGTCTGTATTTTTATTTTTGCTTTTTTTCTCACCGATTTTGGAATGGGCCTGTGACTGCTTTGGCCAATAAAATATTGGTGACATGTACTGGCTTTCCACCCCAACTTTAAGAAACCTGGCAGCTTTCACTTCCTTTCTTGGAATGTTTGTGTTGGAAACCCTGAGATGCTTTAAGAAACCTGCTGGAGAGAAACTAGGTGCAGAGGCCACGTGGAAAGAGAAAGAACTTGAGACTACATAGGAAGAGAGGCCTGAACAGCCCTGCTATGCCAACCAAACTGGTCTTCCTCTCTTCCCCTCCCAAGGCACCAGACATGTACATGAGCCATCTTAAATATTCCACACTAGTGGAGACCCCTGATGGCTGTATTCCCAGTTCATATCACATGGAATAGAAGAAACACTCAGGTGAGCTCAGTTAACATTCAGAATCATAAGAAGTCATAAAATGGTTACTGCTTTAAACCACTAGGTTTTAGGGTAGTCGGTTATAAAACAAAAAGTAAGAAGGACAGACTCATATTCACTCATGTGTAATTATTTCACCTATTCAATAATTATTTTATTAAGCATTTATTAAAGACCCCAATGGCAGGCTCCTTGCTGTTGATTTCTGCCTTATTGGAAAATAAACATAAAATACAAGAGAATAAAATACATCCATGATGTTTGTAACTAAAGTGCATGGTATAATAAAAGGAGATTGGACCCAGGCAGGAAAGTCAAGGTGAAGCCGCATCATTTGTGTGGAGAAATACCCAAGGTTTTTTGTCTTGCGCTAAGGAAAACAAAGACATGGACATACACCGAGTGGGTTTTAAGAGCAGAAAGTTTAACAGGAAAAAGAAAGAAGAGAGAGCTTCCTCATGCAGAGGAAGGGGGCGCCCAAGTGGGTTTTCAGGTTCGGGGTGAGATGCAGTTGATTTTCTAGAGGAGCTTGAGGAGACGGTGTCTGATTTACACTGGGTGTAGTGGATTGGTTTCACCAGGTGTGCCATTTACATAGCCCACGAAGAGGCTGGCCATCCCACCCTAATCTTTTATTATGCAGATGGGGTTTCCACTTGGCAGGTGCCATGACACTCGCACACGTGGCGGAAGAGAAGAAGGGAAGAGAAAACTTCCATGTTGGATATACCTGGCTTCTGGTATAGCTGCCAACATTCATCTATGCAAGTTACCAGCTTGCTTATCTATGCTTGCAGCTTGATTTTTCAGGCTGCTTTCTGTTATAAAAGAAATAATTTGGGGGCTGCTTTTTAATAAAAGAAAAACCTTACTGAGGATTCCTGTACCCTATCTGCCTAAATAATTTTTTTAACTCCTATATTAAAGGCTGTGAGGATTAAACTGAGATCAAGCAGTAGTAGGAGGTAATTGACATGGGAGAAACAACCTCCTGTGAAAAGCCATCACAGTATCACAGAACATGGTACTCCGAGGACTGAGAGGGTCTTGTGGCTAGGGCCCAGCTTAATGAGCAATATATATGGACAGGTGAGGACAGAATCAAAGACTGAAGCCAGAATTTAAACTTAATTACACTGTAAACATCTGGTTAGGGACTATCTTGTTTGCCTTGTATTCTTACTACCTAGCACATTTCCTGGCACCTGATAGGTGCTCAATAAATGCTAAATCTTTATAGGAAGGAGGAAAGAAAGGGAAGGAAAAAGAGAAGGAGAGACGGAAGGGGAAGAAGCGAAGAGAGAGAGGAAGGAGTAACTTGTCCTTTGCGCTGGCGTTACTCTGTTTAGACAAGAATACACTCTCATCCAGTAGTTCTCAAATTTTGTCACGTTACAGTTATCTGGGATTTCAAGAAAATCCTTGTATCCAAGCTGAATCCCATACCTAATCAATTAAATCCTCTTGAGTGAGACTCAGACATCACAGGTGCTTCCAATGTGCAGCCAAGCTCGAGGAGTGGTGTTCCCAGCAGTCTATGCTCCTCTATAGCGCATGATGCTCCCTGACTTACTTTCTGCAGAGACCTTGCAGTTGTAAAGGTCAGAAAATTAATCTAGGTCCTAATGCAACCAGACATTGGTTGCACTAGTCTCCACTAGTCTGGAATATTTAAGATGGCTCATGTACATGTCTAGGAACAAAAGACCACGTCTAAGAATCATTGAATATTACTGAAAATAGAAGACATAATTTGAAATATACGTCTCCATGCTTATGTCAAATAACCCATAATTGCTGAATAACCAAATCTCTGAACCAATGAAGTCCATGTTTCAGGGCCCTGACTTCAGCTGGCAGCATCTTTACCTGATCTGTCATTAGTTAATTCCTAAGTAAGCTGTCCTCTTTCTGACTTCTCCCCATCAAAAATCCATATACTGTTTGACGGACTAACAGAACATTTTAAAACGTAAGCTGTGTTTGTACTAATGTCACTCAAACCACCTTGTGGCTTTCCACCAGCTACCATATAAATTACATCCTATTGGTAAAAACTTTTATTACACTGTTTTTCTGACATTTTTTTCAGCAATATGATGAGCTTTGTTTGCTTATTTACAAATTAAACTCGTCCTTTTTATAAAATTATCACGATGCCTAAAACTCACCCTCCATTTGAGTCCACTTACCCTACTTATATAATTATTCCACAATATACCTTTGATTTCCTTTTCTACTGCTGTCAAGTTAAATTTCCCCTTCTACATGCATCTATTGTATCTTCTGCTTGTCCTTTCATTTCACTCCTTACACTTTCATTAAAAGTTCAATGTCTATCTTCTCTACCAGTGTGTAAGCTCCATAAAGGAAAAGCCTGAGTTGCCACACTATCAGAATATCCTCAAAGTCCAGCAAAATGCTGTGCACTTAATATAAACCCACGAAATGAGTTTATGAATGAATAAATGAGCAAGTAGATGAATAAATGCCCATTGAGGGCAATAAAGACGATTTATCTTTGACATTTTGTAGACATCTCAGAAAAGTTCTAATTCTGCCCAGAGTCACTTCCTAGAATAGATTCAGAAGGAAAAGGAGAGAGAGGAGCTGTTACTTCAGGCTTTCATTATGTTCCAAAAACTTTCCTTACGTGGAACGCTTAGAATCACTCAATCATGGATTATTGTCCTACTATAGTACACAGTTTGTTTGGCAACATCAAGGGCCAATACACTTCTTGGAAAAGTGGTCCCAGGCCTGAATAATTTGTATTTGTATCATAAAATATTTGATTACTCTGGTATATTCTTGTGACACTGAAGTGATGAGTATTTCTTTTGGCATCATCATAAGTACATTTATATTAGACATAAAACTACCTGCTTTCCTTCTTATAGGTGAGTATGTTTTTGATGATTTTAAATCTCAAGTTGTGGCTCAGCATCACAAATGGAAGAAAAAGTAAAAGGAAAAATGAATGACAATCAAAGGTAAGTTTTTCATCATTATAACAATAATGGCAGTAGAGGTATTAATGATATCTGTAGAAAAAACTTACTTTTTTGAAGTATATACTATAGATCATCTACTTTGCTAAATGTTTTTGTATATTATTTAATTTTTACAATGTATTCATGACAGTATTCTATTTTTTCTCACTGTACAGATAAGGAAACAGGTTAGAAGAATTAAGAGACCACCAGCCAAACAGATCATTACATATGGCTACCAGGGCCTCAAACTGAGACCTTTTTGTTTGGTTGTAAGACCAATACTTTAATATCAGTTGGGGTTAATGGCTCCAGTTTCATGTCCTGGTTGTGCAGAACATATATCTACCTTTTTGTGAAGGCATCATTTCATTTGCTTCATCTCCTTTGGAAGCCTGCAGGCAAGTTAACTGAATGCAATCTCACACTGACTCCCTTTTCAAAAGTAGCCTAGTCAGAATCTATGTACATACTCCAAATTGGATGGATAACAATACCATTTTACACACAAGCATATTGAATATATTGAATATATTTACAAATAATTGTCTAATATCAACTAAGATACTTAGAGGAGAGTGGTAAGAAATAAGATGGAACACTCAACCAGAATGTACAACAATGCTATGTAACTGGCAAAGATGCAATTAAGATGAACGTGTTCCAAGAATCTTACCCATAAAAAAGTGAATATTGAAAATGCTGGAGTATAGTTTGTAGAAAAAGAGCTGTGTCTACAAAGTGACCAAGGAGAGATGGTAGACCTTCAGTGGATCTATGAAATTGATTCCTGGTAGGCTCAATGCTACTTGTACTTCAAGTAAGAATTCAATCAAAATTCATTTTTTAAAAATGAAACCACCAGTTTAGTACAAAAGATCTCAGAAAAGGATATAAAGCTCCTAAGCATAAAAGAACACATACATAAATGAAAATAAACTGCACATACAAGTGTATTGAGGAGAAGAAAACTAAATCCAAATTTATATTTAAATGCTCCCATTTAAATTGTCTAAGAAAGAAACATTTAACTTCAGTAGAATGAGAGAAAGCTTGTTTAGCTGCACAGCTTCTTCAATTCACTTCTGCTTTCTGGAAACATTTACAAAGGGAGAAAGGTTAATAAGCTCCCCTGATGGCAGTAAGGGTATACACACTAGAGAGGAGAAAGAATGATTTTTTAAAATTATTTCTATCCAATAAGTTTTTCCTTTTAACTCTGATTAGACATGCCAAGTGCTCCTATTATAGTAATTTACCATAATATATGTGGTGAAATGACCCTGACACCAGGCAAAGCAATGACTGTATCTTTTTAAATAATTGAAAAAACAGACACAGAAACATTTTCTTTAGAAATGGACCCTTAGATTGTCTACACAGTATGCTGACTAGTGGAATACTTAAGGAACAATGACACCTGTATTTATATATTTCTAGACAGCTACAGCTGACAGTATAAACTCATTTTATAGGATTGCTAAAACAGCTGCGGGAAAGAGATAAAGACATTTTATCATTTTAATTTGCTATCACGTAACATAACAGCAGTGGAACAAAATTGCCTGGGATTATTGAAAATAATCTGTCATCAGAACTGATGGTATTTACCAAAGCAGTTTCACTAGCAAACTTCACTCTGCTCTCAAGTTTGAAAAATAAAAATCTATTCCATGCCGTGTGAAAATGCCCTTGGTTCTACCTGTATTTATAAACACTTACATCAACTACCAAAAAAACTGATTTTGGATAAAGAATAGTATTCTTCTTAATCACAAATAATTATCCTAGAAACGTGTATCAGAATATATCCAAACCGTCTGATTTAATAGAACTATCCCTTAAGACCTTTTATATCTAGGTTTAAAACGTACCTTAATTTTTATTCACCAATATAATCTCTATTCATGCAATTTTTAGAACTCATTAAAAGCAAACAACCTTGATAAACTCAAAAAAGAGAGAAATATAATCCCAGAGCCTCATTATCAGTTTCAAGCCATATCACTTTTATGTTGGATTTCACATCAAACAAATACCTTAGGTGGCCAGAGACAGACTTCAGGTTGTGATGGCAAGATGAAAATTAGTTTAAGTCCATCAAGGCTTACATCAGGTACTAGGTTAGGAAGTTATTGGTTTGTCTTTTCTATTAAGGGGAGAAAGACCTTCGCTGACATAGACCTAAGGACCTAAGACACACATCCCTGTTTCATGCCCCTTTGGAAAGCTATAGGTCTCCTGTAAGAAAGGGCCCCTACCCTTCTTTCAGGGATAAGTTATTGCTTCTTCCTTGGAATACCAACAGCACCTGTCATTAAACATTTTATCATAGTCTGTTTTCATGGTTGTAGAACTGAGAAAGTCACTCAGGAGAAGGGCAGCTGGAAATGACACTGTGGGGTATCATGTGCCAGACGTTGCTCATGAAAGTGAATGTGGAGAAAAGCTGCGAATTTAGAACATTTTCTTCTGACTCCAAAACCTCTTCAGAATCTCTCCACTATATATTGTTTGTGTCATATGCCCAGATAGGTTTGTAAGCAGTTTGAGGTGAGGAATAAGGTTTTATATAGGTCTGTGCACCCAGCACTACCTATACAACTGTACTGACATATACTGTTCAACAGAGATTTAGCTATCAAAACAAAACCCATAGCTGTGTTGGCTATTTAGTTTTGGTATTTTCTTAATTTTTTTTTACATTTTAGAATAAGCTTGTCAATGTCCAAAATGTCCACTGGAAGTTTGACTGGTAGTGCCCTGAATTTCCAAATCAATCTGGAGATAGTTGACATCTTAATAATTTTGAGTCATCACAATCATGACCACAGTGGATTTCTATTTAGGATTTACTCTCAGCAGTTTTGTAATTTTCAATGCACAGGTTGCTCGTATCTTTTCTCTCAAATTTTAAGTTCCAGGATACATGGGCAGGAGGTGCAGGTTTCTTACATAGGTAAATGTGTGCCATGGTGGTTTGCTGCGCAAATTATCCCAGCACCCATGTATTAATCCCAGCATCCATTAGCTATTCTTCCCGATGCTCTCCCACCCCCCACCCCCAACATGCCCCAGTGTGTGCTGTTTCCCCCATGTATCCATGTGTTCTCATCATTCAGTTCCCACTTACAAGTGAGAACATGCGATGTTTGGTTTTCTGTTCCTTGGTTTGGAGGATTACAGCTTCCAGCTCCATCCATGTCTCTGCAAAGACCATGATCTTTTTCCTTTTTATGGCTGCATAGTTTTCCATGGTGTATATGTACCACATTTTCTTTAACCAGTTTATCAGTGCTGGGCATTTGGGTTGATTCCATGTGTTTGCTATTGTGAGTAGAGCTGCAATGAACATGTGTGTGCATGTATCTTTGTAATAAAATCATTTATATGTCTTTGGGTATATACCCAGTAATGGGATTGCTGGATCAAATGGTATTTCTGCTTCTAGATCTTTGAGGAATGACCACACTGTCTTCCAAGATGGTTGAACCAATTTGTACTCTGACCAACTATGTAAAAGCATTTCCTTTTCTCCACAACATCACCAGCATCTTTTATTTTTTTTATTTTTCATAGCAGCCATTCTGATTGGCATTTGATAATATCTCATTGTGATTTTTATTTGCATTTCTCTAATGATCAGTAATGTTGAGCTTTTTTCATGATTCTTGGCCACATGTATATCTTCTTTGGAGAAGTGTCAGTTCATGCCCTTTGCCCACTTTTTAATGTGGTTGTCTGTTACTTGTAAATTTGCTTAAGTTCCTTATAGACTGGATATTAGACCTTTATCAGATAGATTGCAAAAATTTTCTCCCACTCTGTAGGTTGTCTGTTCACTCTGGTGATAGTTTCATTTGCTGTGCAGAAGCTCCTTAGAGCCCATTTGTCAATTTTTGCTTCTGTTGCAGTTCCTTTTGGTGTTTTAGTCATCAAATCTTCGCCTGTGCCTATGCCCAGAGTGACATTGCCTAGAGTTTCTTCTAGGGTTTTGACAGTTTTGGGTTTTACACTTAAGTCTTTAATCCATCTTGGGTTAATTTTTGTATAAGGTGTAAGGAACTGGTGCAGTTTCAATTTTCTGCATATGGCTAGCCAGTTCTCCCAGCACCATTTATTAAATAGGAAATCCTTTCCCCATTGCTTGTTTTTGTTAGATTTGTTGAAGATCAGATGGTTGTAAGTGTGTGGTCTTATTTCTGAGTTCTCTATTCTGTTCCACTGGTCTATGTGTCTGTTTTTGTACCAGTACCATGTTGTTTTGGTTACTATATCCTTATAGCATAGTTTGAAGTCAGGTAGCATGATGCCTCCAGCTGTGTTATTTTTGCTCAAGATTGTCTTGGCTATTTGGGCTTCTATTAGTCCATTTTCATGCTGAGGATTAATACATATCTAAGATTAGGTAATTTACAAGGAAAAAGAGGTTTAATGGACTCACAGTTCTATGTGACTGGAGAGGCCTCACAATCATGGCAGAAGGCAAAAGGCACGTCTTACATGGCAGCAGTCAAGACAGAATGACAACCAAGTGAAAGAGGTTTCCCCTTATAAAATCATCAGATCTGGTGAGACTTCATCACTATCCTGAGAACAGTATGGAGGAAACCACCCCCATGATTCAATTATCTCCCACCGGACCCCTGCCACAACATGTGCGAATTATGGGAGCTACAATTCAAGATGAGACTTGGGTAGGAACACAGCCAAACCATATCAGGGCTGTTTTTGGTTCCATATGAATTTTAAAATAGTTTTTTCTAATCCTGTGGGAATGTCAATGGTAATTTAATGGGAATAGTATTGATCTATAAATTGCTTTGGGCAGTATGGCCATTTTAATATTGATTCTTCCTATCCATGAGCATGGGATGTTTTTCTACCTGTTTTGTGTCATCTCTGATTTCAATGAAGAGTGGTTTGTAATTCTTCATGAAGAGGTCCTTCACTTTCCTTATTAGTTGTATTTCTAGGTATTTTATGCTTTTTGTGGCAATTGTGAATGAGAGTTCATTCATGATTTGGCTCTCGGCTTGCCTGTTGTGGGTGTATAGGAATGCTAGCGATTTTTTCACATTAATTGTATTCTGAAACTTCACTGACGTTGCTTATCAGTTTAAGATGCTTTGGGTCTGAGACTATAGGGTTTTATAGATACAGTATAACAAACAAAGATGGTTTGACTTCCTCTCTTCCTATTTGAATATCTTTTATTTCTTTCTCTTGCCTGATTGCCATAGCCAGAAATTTAATACTATGTTGAATAGTAATGGTGAGAGTGGGAATCCTTGTCTTGTGTGAGTTTTCAAGGGGGAATGCTTCCAGCTTTTGCCCATTCAGTATGACATTGGCTGTGGGTTTGTCATATACGACTCTTATTATTCTGAAGTATGTTCCTTCAATACCTAGTTTATTGAGGGCCTTTAACATGAAGGAATGTTGAATTCTATTGAAGGCCTTTTCTGCATCTATTGGGTAATCATGTTGTTGTTGTCTTTAGTTCTGTTTATGTGAGGAATCACATGTAATGATTTGTGTATGTTGAACCAACCTTGCATCACCGGGATGAAGCCTACTTGATTGCAGTGGATAAGCTTTTTGAGGTGCTCTTGGATTCAATTTGCCAGTATCTTGCTGAGGATTTTTGCATCAATATTCATCAACAATATTGGCCTAACATTTTTGTTGTTGTTGTATTTCTGCCAGGTTTTGGTATCAGAATGATGCTGGCCTCATAAAATGAGTTAGAGAGGAGTCCCTCCTTCTGTAGTTTTTTTGGATAGTTTCAGTAGAAATGGTACTAGCTCTTCTTTGTAGCTCTGTTAGAATTCAGCTATGAATCCATCTGGTCCTGGGCTTCTTTTTTTTTTTTGGTTAATAGGCTATTTAATATTGCCTCAATTTCAGAGCTTGTTATTGGTCTAGTCAGGGATTCAGTTTCTTCTTGGTTCAGTCTTGGGAGGGTGTATGTGTCTAAGAATTTATCCATTTCTTCTAGATTTTCTAGTTTAAATGCAGAGAGCTGCATATGGTATTCTCTGTTGGTTGTTTGTATTGTAATATCCCCCTTACCATTTCTGATTGTGTTTATATGAATCTTTTTATTATTCTATTATTAGATAGTGATCTTATTTCTTTTCCAAAAAAAATAGTTCCTGGATTCATTAATTTTTGAAGGGTTTTTTGTCTCTATCTCCTTCATTTCAGCTCTGATTTTGGTTATTTGTCTTCGGCTAGCTTTTTGGGTTTGTTTGCTCTTAGTTCTCTAGTTCTTTTGGTTGTGATGATAGGGTGTCGATTTGAAACCTTTCTAACTTTTTTTTTGAGATCTTTTCCAGCGTTTTGATGTGGGCATTTAATGCTATAAATTTCCCCCTTAACACTGCTTTAGCTGTGTCCCAGATATTCTGGTACATTGTATCTTTGTTCTCAGTTGTAAAGTTTTTTTTGTTGTTGTTGTTTTCTTTTGTTTTTAGCCAGAGTCTCTCTTTTTTGCCCAGGCTGGAGTGCAGTGGTGTGATCTTGGCTCACTGCAACCTCTGCCTCCCAGGTTCCGGCAACTCTCCTGCCTCAGCCTCCTGAACAGCTGGGATTACAGGTGCACACCACCATGCCCAGATAATTTATGTATTTTTAGTAGAGATGGGGTTTCACCATGTTGGCCAGGCTGGTCGAACTCCTGACCTCAAGTGATCCACCCGCCTTGGCCTCCCAAAGCGGCAAAGAACTTCTTTATTTCTGCCTTACTCATTTATCTAGTTTTCAGACTTTCAATGACTTTCACTAGAGCTCAAAAAATTACTGAGTTTGTTGGCTTTAATACCATTATGCAAAGATTGTGTGACTGATTAGTATTGAATGTGATTGCCTATAGCTTTGCATTTGTACATGAGTCACTATGAGACAAACTACAGGTCCTCAAAATCAAGCTTTGTACTCTGGGCACATTAGACAGCATTGGTATATAAACATATTTCATAGCATCTTTCTGACAGAATGGGTTTTTTTAGTTGCAGAATTTTTGTATAATTCAGATATTTAGTAAGACTAACACAAGTTCACCAGTAATTATCTGCATATACACCTATATTTTGAGGCAAATCAATGATGAACAACTGGTATTTATTGAATATTTTTAATGTGGGAAATAGATTTCTATATCTTTTAGGAGCTTAAAGACTAGCCATTTCATCAAGATGAAATTAAATATGGCACTAAATACAGTGTTGTGTGGAAATTTGTCATCAATTCAACAGTAGAGTTAAAATTTGCAAGATGTAAACTAATGCTATCAATTTTGACCAATACTCCAAACCAGGAAATTAGAAGTCATCCTTGCTTCTCTTATTTAGTCACCAGATTTGGTAGGTTCTAACTCCCAAATAATTCCAAGATCTGTCTTTTCACATCTATCTCCATTGGCTTGATTTGGACCTATATTGCCTCTAATCTGAGTAGTTCCAAGAGCATCTGAAATATTATGTGTTCTATTCTAAATAACACAAAGTTTTTCATGGTTCTAGTCTCTTCATCTTGATTTTCTTTGCCCAGAGTTTCAAGGATAAACTCAATATCACTTGGTTGCTGTCGTCTGACCTGCCCCGAAGCCCAGGAAGAGTTGGCTATTATGTCACTTGTGTTTACATATCATTTAATATATTCTTGTTTTATAAGCACTTATCACATTGTATTATTTGTATTGTGCCTGTCTCTTCCAGAGGGCAACCATAAGGTTTATCACTTCTCTGAATTCAAAGAATGTGGTCAATGCTTGGTTCATAGCAGGCAGTCGATATTTAACGAAGTGAATTGAGTTCCAGGACTGTTAGTATCTTAAATGTCTCAGTTCACTCTATCCATCAGAAGTGAAGAACATGACTGGAACTGACATGCTGTGCTCTTGTCACTCACTTCCACTTCCATCCCCATCCAGAGATGTAAGTGCAAAGCTCTGTGAAATTAAAAAAAATCATAGACCAGAGATTTTAGAAGTATGGACCATTTGATTATTTTTAGCCCAACAACCTTTCCAGCCTGCTTTATAACAAGGTAGCTTTTCAGACAAATTAAAAAGAACAGAAAAAAAGTGTTAGTTAATTATTTCTGGAATAGAAAGCTGAAAGATACACTTTGTTAGTTTTCTTGGAAGATATTTTCCAAATTCTTATTTATGAAAAAACATTAAGAACTTTGATACATATTCCAAAATGTTTGCCATCGTCGCACATCTACTTACGTTATTTTGTTTCAGTTTACAAACATCTCTGATGCTAAAATACCTCTTTCAATATACAATTTAGGATTACAAACATGCTTCATTTTTCAAACTAATTTCTATACTCCAAGTACAAACTAAATTATTATGAAGTTTTAAAACACCACATCATTAATAGTATAAAATCTAAAGAAAAAACCTTTTTCATTGTTCAAGTATTTCATGAATATCTCAAATCCAACTTGAAAGCATTTTTTCACGTAGTACTATTTTATATGCATTTTAATTTCTTCTTTACTTTCCCTAATGATCCCATGAATGGTTGAACACAATTTGAGTTAACATCTTTGTTTTTAACATAATTCATTTGATTATGTGATGAAACTATTTCATTTATGTAATAAGGCTCCAATAAATATCTTTTACTTTGTACTTGCTTTTTAAATTATTTGGATTTTTTCCTTAAGTCAAATTCCCATAAATTAATTATTATATCAATGAATGAGAACATTTGCATGGCCCTTAACATATTATGCCACGTTTCTTGAAAAAAACTGTGCCTATTTATTCTGGCTCTCAAGAATGAATGTAAGCATATCATGTTCACCAGGCCCGTTTCTAGTGCTCTCCTAAAAAGAGCCTTCAACTTCTGAGCTTGTTGTGCCATTCCCAAAACTGCTCCTCCTGAGTACAGATTGGCAGGAGAAGAGACCCTGAGGGAACCTTCACTGTTACCACCATATCCCCCACTCTTGTTGTTGCCACCACTTTTGCCTGCTACAGGGCTGCAGCTTCATTAGGGGCAGACAGGGAAGGTTCAAAGAGCTCTATTCTCTAATGAACTCCCTTCCAAGTCCTCCAACCAGCATTTTTTTTTTTTGTCTGTGGTTTTTCAAAATCCAAGAGATATATATGACTAAGAAGATATGGAAGTCAAAACAAACAAGCAAATAGAACAAATTAAAGTAAAATAATTCTCCAAAGTATGGACATTCTTTGAGTTTTGATTATCTCTACCCAGTTCACCTACTCTTCTTTTAGAGGCCTCTTACAGTTGCTTTATGAATTTTGCCTTCCTTTTCTTCTACCTTTCATCAATGGGAAGGATAGAATGGAGTGCACTTATTCCTTCCTGACACTAGAACCTATCAATAAGTTTTTAATCAGGAGACTAAGAAAGTACACTTACTCCTTTGTCACTAGTTGATTTCAAAGATAGTGGCCTGGTGACAGTATATGTTTGGTTTTGAGCTAGTTTGATCCAGTGAATATGAGATTTACCATTGACTCATTTATCAGAAATACATTACATTGGAATTAAACCAGTTGGGCAGATTTAATTCTGTATTAAATTTGCTAGATATGAAACATATAAGCAGTTGTCTTTTTCTTTTCTTTTTTCTTTTCTTTCCTTTCCTTTTCTCCCCTCCCTCCCTCCTTCCCTCCTTTCCTTCCCTTCCCTTCCTTCCTTTCCTTTCCTTTCTTTCTTTCCTTCCTTTCCTTTCTTTCTACCTCCTCCTCGCTGCATATGGGAGCCTAGATTCATGGTTAACATTTCTTTTTCCTCTGTAAAGGACCTGAGAGTATTTCAGGATTTGCGAGACACAAAGTCTCTACTGCAACTACAGTATTCAACTCTACTGTTGTGGTGTAAAAGCAGGCGATGGACAATATTTAAATAAATGAGCTGGCCAAATTTGGCCAACAGGCTATAGTTTGTCAATCTGTGGCTAAGAATGATGAATTAACATATTTGATCTTCAGTATTCACCCAGTAGTAAGGTTGTTACAGTAAAAACCCACCATAACATTTTAAGTGGTTTAAAAAATGTTTGAGTAAAAATGTGTTTGGGGTTATTTAGAGGTTATTGATGCCCGATATGATACTGAAATACTAGTATGTGTGGGTCCAGGTTCTGAGATTTCTGAGAGCCAATTTCTTCTAATTACTTTATTTACATTTGCTTTTTTTATCTATGTTCTTCTAATGAACGCTTTACTAGAATTTAGGCCATGAATGAGAAGGCCTAAACCCTTTACTAGAATTTAGGCCATGAATGAGAAGGCATATATATATGCACCTAGGAGATAGATAGATATATATATAGATATAGATATATAGATATATATATATATGCACCTAGGAGATATATATATATATATATATATATATATATGCACCTAGGTAATCTGAAAAAAAAACTGGCTTTCAATTATATAGGTTAAAAATACTGGAAAATAACATTTAATTAGACTCAAATCAAGAGCTGCCAGATTCCACATTGAAATGCAACATTACTGAAAACAGAATTTTTGAAGGTTCTGTATTTATGAGTATTAGTAAGAAATTATTTCAGCTCCCCTTTTTAGTATAGCACTCCAGGCAAGAAATAGACTATCTTGGCTTTTAAATTCTTCACATGAAACAAAACTCTAAAACAGTTTTATTTTTGTAAAACATTCTTACAAAGTATGAACAACTACAGTTGACTGACTTAAGTTGAGAGGTTTCTGTATAAATAAATAGCACTCACAATTTTTGCATTCACAATTCAACATTGTCTAGCTCTGTTAAAATGATGTCATTTCACCATAGTTGTGTCACCCATGTTTCAGAAAACAGAGTTGTTGTCCTGTCCTTCAGACAGGACAGGACCAGAAGATACTGTAAGACAAACATAAATTCTGGAGTGAGAAGAATCTAAGGAAGAGGTAATAACCAAAGCCATAAAATGACATATGTTTTACTGGAGAAATGAGCAATACCTATGTGGCTACTCGTGCTACAAACTAAGCCACCCACAAACATTCAGCAGACAATTCCCTTTGAATAGTTATAATTCAAGAAACAGAAAGCTCTCTCTAAAAAATGTGCCAAGTATTTTTAATAGAGAATTCATAAAGAAATACGGTTGCTCAAGAAATGAATGATAAGAGGATCAAACATATAGAACAGGGCTGTATGAAAAGCAAAATTTGGCTTAAAGGAACGTAGGATGAAAATAAATGAAAAAATAAAAAACTATCAGAATGCCTCCAGAAGTTATAACAGATATGGGCTCTATCGCTTTTCTCCCAGGTGATAGTAGTTTATTTCCTTGCCCAAAATGTTTTTTCAAATCACATTTGCCACTACCCAGAGCAGTAGCATTACATAGCCACTAAGTTTCGCTTTCTTAAAAGAGATATGTTAAGAATATGAATGTAAACTATGCTGAGGAGCAGCTTACTGGCTTTATGGAATTCAGAGTAGCATAGGAGATGCCAACCCAGTATTCAGCTGGGCTTTTTAAAATAACACTACATATGCAACTTTAAGTATCATGAGTTCAAACTTATAAGATTGTGCGGAGGAAAGTGCTATTAATGTTAATAAAGACTGCATTGCCAGATGAAGTATTTCTCACCTGCACCTCATTTGCTTTGTTAGTCTATGTTCAATACAGCATTTTGGGAATCTGAGAGGCTAAATTAAAAAAGCAGGTGAAGAGAAGTTTACAGTTTGATTTGACTGATAATTTATGCTATCATGAATTTCTAGGTGTCACATTCTAGACTATCTTTCTTAAAATTCTCCATCTTGGTATTATTATAAAGAAGAAATGCAGAAGACTCAGTCACTATGCATATTATTGTCTCTTCAATGCCAAGGCACTCCTAACACTGGGCTTACCAGGGCCTACTGAGAGAAAGGGAACTTCAGGAAGGCCTTGGCTTCAGGGGTGAGGATTCCACCCAATTCCTGCATCATCTCCTTTCAAATTTCATTTAGTACGATTGGAATGTCTAGACAGATTTTTGGTTTGAGTGAAGCAAGCCTAACAAGAAGCTTTCTTTACTACTTAAGAGAAGTGTCATTTGGTTCCTTTCTCACAACATTTTAGAAAGATGCCAATGTCCCTGAAATGATGTTGAGTGCTAGAAAACCAGTTACCATAAAATGTTAGGGAAAGATGATAAAATATGTGTCCATCCAATCTCTACATTTATTTTAATTTTTGTATTTTACTTTTTGGACATTTTTATTTCTATTCTTGAGTTTTGTCATCTGTAAAATGAGGATAATAGTACCTCCTTCATTGAAATGACATAAGAATACAACCTAGAAAATATTACAACAGGAATAAACACAAGAACAGCTGAGGGAGTGATATAATAAACTTGCCTTGGAGAGCAGGGGTTGGCTACTATATATATGTACACACACAAACACACATAAATACACACATACCTATATATACATATATACCTATATATACACTCACACACTATATATATAAAATATGTATGTATATATGTGTGTATGTATATATGTACACATATACTTACATATACATACATATATATGTATATATACATACATATATATGTATATATACATACACACTAGGAAACATGAGCAGGACTTTATATAATAAAGGATAAAAGCAGTGCAGAAGGAAATGCATTACTGATACACTAAAATATAGCTAGAAAGGGACATGGATAAGTAATTCTGGAGGAATACAGGGTTATAGGCCATGATGCTAGAAAATCAATGTGGGGCACAATTGTGAAGTTTTTCATAGCCTTGCTAAGTAGTTTAACATTTGTGGTTTTCATGAGAAGCCATAAAATATATTTAATGAGCAGTAATATGAACAGCCCTAGGGTTACTTGATGACCTTCCAAAAGCACAACAGTTTTAGCAGAATAATGATGAAAACAAGCCATTTGTGTTGAAGCAAATCAGACCATAAAAAAATCAATTACAGATGGATTGTAGATCTAAATGTAAAGGATAAATAAAGCTTTTAGAAGAAAATATTAAATGTCTTCATGAACTGAAGTGAGCAAATATTTCTTGAAAGGGCATAAAAAACCATAACCGTAAGTGGAAATTTTGAAAAATTAACCTATTAAAATTAAGAACTCTTATTCATCAAAAGGGAACAATGAGAGTAGAAGACAAGTCACAAAGAAGAAACAATCAATATTTATATCTAGCCATATATCTACATCCAGAAAATATAAATAGCTCAACAAATCAATAAAATGCAGACAATTCGATAGAAAGTAGGCCAAAAATATGCGCATCTATGACCTAGAAATCATATTCACAGATATATACAATAAGAATGTGTACATCTGTTCACCAAAAGATATGTTGAAGAAAGTTTAAAATACAACTACTCGTAAAAATTCCAAACTGGAACTAACCAAATATCCATCAAAAAAAGGCTAAACTTTTCTACATATGTACAATGAAATCCTACACAGCAAGGAGAATGAACAGCTACATGTAGAGACACTATGGATAAATCTCACAAATATCACAAGTCAAGTCCTGTACACTGTGGTAGTCCAGGGTATTATGTTCTCACATGGAGTGTGAGAAGCCTAACACATAGAGTGCATTCTACCTGATTCCATTTCTATAAAGTGCAAACCCAGGTATATGGTGTTAAAAGTTAGCACAGTGGTTATTTTCCATTTGGGCCTCATGATTGAAAGGAGGAATGGTGACACTTCTAAGAGGCTGACGAAGTTCTGTCTTGTGATCTGGCACTGGTTACATTTTTTGTTCATGTTGGAATCCATAAAGTTTCACTTATGATTTGTGCACTTGTCTGTATGTATACTTGAATAGAAATAATGAAAATTACTAAAAAAATTCAGAGGGACTTCTACTTCCAACATCATGGCTAACTAAATATTTTGAAGAAAAGTCCTCCAAAGCAAATGCCAACACACTGGATAAATCACAATGACTACTTTTTAATGCATTGCTGAGCTCACAGTAAAGTACAGGAAATCTGCATGGGACAGATAAAAACATACGAGATGTGATACTTGAACTCTGAGCTGGTGCTATATTGAGGGCACACCTATCCTGGGGATTAAATCATGGCCCTGAACTACCACAGTTTACAAGACTTGACTAAATCAATCTCTCTCTCTCTCTCCCGACACCCCAACCTCCATGCCTCCCTTTCTCTCTCTCATTGATGAATCTTTGGGATAGAAAAGAAGTTAAAATCTGGGCTGGGCACGGTGGCTCAGGCCTGTAATCCCAGCACTTTGGGAGGCCGAGGTGGGTGGATCACCTGAGGTCAGGAGTTCGAGACCAGCCTGGCCAACCCAGTGAAACATTGTCTCTATTAAAAATACAAAAATTAGCTGGGCGTGGTGGTGGTCGCCTGTAACCCCAGCTACTCGGGAGGCTGAGGCAGGAGAATCACTTGAACCTGGGAGGCAGAGGTTGCAGTGAGCCAAGATCACACCATTGCACTCCAGCCTGGGCAACAGAATGAGTTCCCATAAAAAAAAAAAAAAAAAGAAAAGAAAAGAAAAGAAAAAGAAAAGAGAAGTAGTTAAAATCCAACTGATGAAATACAAGAAATTTTCTGTGGAAAATAAGTTGACTTTGACTGCTTTTCTGTCCCAATTTTCCCTAAAATATATATTCTCTTGCTCTTCTCATTTTCTGACAGAAAATGGGCTTGCCCTCAGCAATCTTGCAGCTAGAATTCAACCCACCATGTGTAGACACTCTTTTTTTCCCTAACACCATTTAAGGTACCAGATGCTCTTCTGTTTTACCGATAAAGCTACCTATAGATACCTTATGTTCATCTAATTCCAAAAGAAAATAATATTATAAAAGAGTTCTGAATTGGAACTCAGGAGGAAACAAAAAAGCACCTGGTACCCAACGTGTCCACTGATTCCATGGTGCCCTCAAGCGTCGCTCTTTAGGCCTCAGTAATTTCATCTGTCAAATTTAATGAGTGGACACTGGTTTTTCTAGGTATTATGTTCATCAGCTTTGGAGTCAGGCAAACAAGGAACTGCCCTGTACTATGTAAGTAAATTGATAGAAGCATCCACTGAAACCCCACGTAGACTTTGCAAAGATGAAGCGTATCTGTGTGCTTGAAATGGAAAGACCTTTATGATGTACTGTTAAGTAACAAAGAGCAGAGCAGTATGAATGGTAGTTTATTTATAAAAGAAACATAGTGTGAATACAAAAATATTATTAATAGAATATATCTGCAGGGATCTACATAAATCAAGTTTCCTCTGGATTAAAAAGAGGTAATACAATGTTTCTGTATTGATTAACATGTGGATACATAACTTTTATAATTTTATAATCACAAAATTTAGTTAATTTTTTTTCAATGGCAGGCACAAGGCTGTAGTTAAATAAAATTTGGTTACCTTTACCATGGTGAACAGTCTAAGGAGCTACTGATTTTTATTATTTTCCTAAAAACTAAAAATAAAAATATTTGAAATTAGTAGATCGTATGACAAGGTAATAATACATGTATTTAAAAGCAAATAAATTTTACAGTGAGTCTCATTTATTCAGGGATAGGTGGTGGTTAGGTATGAAATCAAGCTTGATCAGAAAAAGATTAGATAGAGATAGGAGAAGGACAAAGGATTTGGCCCTGTTGCCTTCTTAGGGAGAAGAAAGCTGACATAGGACTGGTAATAAATAGTACAGAGACGGAGCATGCCAAAGGACATTGTTAATGACATGTTCCTGATTACAGAAGCAATCAAATAAATGTCCTGGGTAGAAAGATGTAGAAGCTATGAAAAGGAATGATGCATTTCTAATACAGGGTCTCAGACTGCAATGGTGACAGGAAAGTAGGATTAAGTTACTCAAAACAAGGATTTTACTCTAATTGTCAAATTCGATTTAGGGTATGCAACATAAGGCATAGCAGTGAGGGAAAACATTTAGTGATGAGTTTTTCTGACCACTGAGGAACTATTTAATAGAATTCCATTTTTAGAGGCATATAGTCCAGGAAAAAAAACAGTTTTTCTAGTTATGAGATTGAATCAAATAATCGTCCTGTGCCCAGAGTGACATAACTCTAAAATGAGCCTTATTTCTCATAAGTGTCCCTGTTGCTAACTGCTCACAAATTCTATGCTGGTTTATTGAAGGACTCTTGTGTCAATGCTGTCACTTTTGTCCCTTTGGCTCTTCATGAAACTACCCATTTTAGCTCTTTTTAAAGAACGTTCTTTTTTTCTCAGGTTTATTAGATCTCTAATACCCATCAGTTCTTGAATTCCTATCATCCTTTTTTCTTAAACCATGGTTTAGAGGAATACAGAGAATATTTTCATAATGTTCAAGTAAAAAAAAAATCTTTCTCAGCCTGTCAGGAAACTAAATAACCTCAAAAAGATGAAATATGGCAAATGGTAACATAGGGTAAATGGTAACAAATGGTAACATATTCCTAACCATAACTAACTCCAAAACTCTGAGCGGTCAAAAGCAATCATAATCTCAAGAAAAATAAATGTCTTTATAAACAGCAAAAGATCCTACAAGAAAACATGGGCAAGAAAATGCCTCAGTAAATTAAACCAAGAATGTAGTTGAAAATCTGAAAAACAATGACATCAGAATATGGAGAAATGATCTAATAAAGTAATTTGAATTAAAATTATGCTGTTGTCAAATTTCTATAATGTGAGAATGAAAATTTTAGAAGTATACATTATTAAACATAATTGAATGGCAATTTGTTAATACTACATATCAAAATTAAGATGTAAAATCTTTTAATCAGAATTAAACCTTAAGTATCCTCAGGTATAACAAGGAGTAAACAACATCACTACCCAGCACCAGATTTGCATTAAGAGATGATACATTTAATGAAACCTTAGGAAGTAGTGAACCAAGTAAAGGCCAGCCAACGGGTGGCAGAGACTGCTAGTGAGCACCCATGTAAACCCGCATTTTTCTCTACATGTTAAAGCCTTCCTGGACAAAGACTGGGGCTATGTGGCTGTGTTTTAGCCAATTACATGTGGGCAAAAGTAATGTATGCTGTTTTTAAGCTTTACCTTAAGACATCTGCTCAGTCGTCCATTTTCTATCTACAGTGAACATGGAGTCCATATGCTGATAGCATCAAGCAATGAAAATAACTTGAATCCTTGGCTTGTTAGACAGTTCCCAAGGAGAGCCACCTAACCTGAAGTGACTGTGATGTCATCCAGAATAAGCCTTTATTCTATTAAGCTATTGAGTTTTTTAGATTTATTCGAAATGTATGCAATTGCTTAGAACAGTGCTTCTCAAACTTGAGTGGACATAAAAATTCTTCGGAGACCTTGTTAAAACCCAAGTTTCTGGGTGACTTCCTTAGAGATTTTGACTCAGTAGGTCTGAAGATGGTGAAATTGAGATTCTACATATGTAACCAACTCCTGGGTATTGATGCTGCCAGTCCACAGACCACACCAGACTAAATATTCTGAATAAAATACTGGGGGTGGAATTAGATAACAAAATGTGTATATAAAAATACGAGGTCTTGAGGTAGGATGGAAACTTAGGCTGACATGCACACGGAAATGAAGATGGGTGAGTGGAAAAAATTATTGTAAGCAAAAATGATGAGTCAAGATGATACAGAAAGTTCAAGCTGTGAACTTTGAGGTCAAATTGGCACCAAATCAAATTCCCAGAGCAAGCACGTGGCACTAGTTCAAAATTAGATGACCCACTAATATTTAATGGTATTGATGGAGTGCAGAATTTGTTCACAAATAGGACACATATGACTGCCAACACACCCACCTCCTGTACCTAGAGGTCTCCAGTACAAATTGAACGAATTCTGAAAACTCAGAGAACAAGACATTTGTTATCAAGTGTAAAAGCTGCAGTGTGAATGGGCATTTTGATAGACTACTCCTGTGTGAACAGCCTTCCCTCCGTCTATAAATTAAGGCTGGAAAACGAAGAGGGAATCAGAGTATAATTATCTTTGTAGTCACCAGAGGCCTCATGTAGAAGCAGTGGTATACTCAATGGCAATGTTCACAGTGGGTGGGAATCAGAGACACACAGATGGACCTTACCACTGAGTGTGAAGAAAGTGTGACCAAAGTTCCATTTCCAAAATGAAACCCTATATCCCAATCATAATGTATGGTAGAAGCCGTGTATGGTGATGTTCATGAGTGGGGCTTCTGGAGCCAGATGATCTGTGCTCCAGTCAATCCTAGTCTACCACTTGTTATCTTAGTGATCTAGGGGCAAGTTACATTTCTCCTATTCCTCAGTTTCCTCATTTACAGTACTGTTTGCTGAAAAAAAAAAAACTGTAAACTAGAGTTTGATAGAGAACTAGACACTAATTTTTTTAAAAGAATGAATTAACTATGTATATATTGATAAGAAAAACTCTCCAAAACAGGTTGACAACTATTGCCTGTAGGCCATATCTGGCTCACCACCTGTTTTTTAAATAAAGTTTTAGTGGAATACAGCTATGCTCATCCATCTATGTATTGTTTATGGCTACAGAAAGGAAGCCTAAAATATTTATTATCTGGCTATTCAGAAAAAAAGTTTGCTGAGCCCTGCTGTAAGGTATTAGGCTAAACAATAAAAGTAATGAACATCTTGTATTGTTTATGCCATTAATGTGGTAAAAAATACATGTATATGCAAATGTAAAGAATCTCTATGGATTCAGAAAGAAAAATGAAAAAATTATGATGTGCACTCTTCTCTCCCCTCTTTAGTATCTTTTGAATCTTTTGCCATGTAACACAAATTATATATACGTATAAAAAGCATTATGCATGCATAAACATTAATGTTCAGTTAAACACAGACATATACAGAAATAGCACAAGTGTTGTACAGCCAGATTAAACCATTTGATAGAAGTTCCATTTATCAGCAATTTGGCTATATTAAATTATGCAGGCAATTGATCTAACTGATCACTCTCACTGATTATTCTTACATTAGGAAAATTGATATTCAAAATCTTTCTATCTATAATAGAACTGCTTAGTTTTGCTACATCTTGAGTTTTAAAACCACCTTAAGAATTTCCAGTGTCATCTCTTCATTAATATTATTGTAAATTTGGAATACTGTTTTATAAATATTCTGTTCCTGATAACAACTTAGTTGATTCCCACTGTTCTAATAAAATACCTTAGACTTAGCAATTTATAAACAATAGAAATGTATTGCTTACCATTCTAGAGGCTGGGAAGTCCAAGATCAAGGCACCAATAAATTCAGTGTCTAATGAGGCTGCTCTCTGCTTCCCAGATGGCACCTTGCTGTTGTATCCTCACATGGTGAAAGGGGTGAATGCTGTGTCCTCTCATGGCAGAAGAGTTGAAAGGACAAGGCAGCTCTCTGAAGCCTCTTTTATAAGGGCATTAATCCCATTTATAAGGGTGGAGCCCTCATGGCCTAATCACTTCCCAAAGGCCCCACCTTTTAATACCATCAACTTGGGGTTAATGTTCCAACACATGAATTTTGGAGGGACATGTACATTCAAAAAATAGCAACCACTTTCTAAAATCTCTAAGTACTTCTATGTGCTGTCCCAATAACGCCAGGGAAAAAACTTGATCGTGGTGTTCTCAGTCCTTCTTCATGTCTAGTTCCTGAGCTACAAGTTCTGAAAAGACTGCTCCAAACCCATGTATGAGAAAGGCTTGACTGGCTATGTTGTAGTATAAACAACCCTGAAATTAATAACTTAACAATATTTATTTCTTGCTCATACTACATGTCCAACTCTGGCCAGGGCACTCTGCTCCATGCAGGCACTCAGAGACCCAGCATGACAAAGGCTCTACTATCTTGTGGCTTTACTGTATGGAACATGCAGTCTCAGTTGCTGTGTTAGGGAAGAGTGCACTCGAGGGCTGGACACTGACTTTTAAGTGTTTGAACTCAAAAGTGACATTGGACACCTCTGCCTACAGCGTAGCAGCCAAAATTAGTCACAGGGACCCAACTAATATTTTGAACAAGGAAGTACCAATAATAATACTTTGATCTCTAATAATACCTTGGTCCAGTTTCTCAAAGTTTTTGCTATTTTCAGAGTTTTCACTGTTGAAACACTGTCAGTTGACATAAGCAGTTTTACTATATAATTCTAAGGCCTACATAAATTTGTCCAGCAAGGGAAAAACGTAACTTGACTGCAGAAACCTATGGAGACTAATACCTAGAGCACTGTTTCTCAATGACAGCTGCACACAAGAATTAGTGAGAAGCTTTAAAAACTACTCTGTCTGAGCCACCCGTAGAGTCTAATTCAATTGATCTGGATTAAGGGAGCCCAGTATATCTTATGACGCCTCCCTACCTTTTCTCTCACTGAGAGGGTGGGAGTTTATGTTAAAAAAAAAAAAAAACTCATATCCATAAATGTTCAGATCCTTTTAGTTTAAGTCATTAAAACTTTAGTCATTTATAAGCTCCTGGGTTTATGAACTTCTTTAAGTCAGATATTAGGTGCTGATAGTAGAACTTCAAAATAAAAAGATGACTGTTCCCCCATTTACTGTAAAGTTGATTAGAAGGTAATACTGGTTAACTTGTTTTAACCTGTTTGAGATTCACCAAATTGAAGTTAAAATAAAATATATGAGTCTTATTAGAGAGCTCGCTTAGGAATTCATTTCCCTAAGCATTCAGTAGGTGACATTAACTTTATTAATAATTTTCTGAGCTCTAAAATGCTCCATATGAGAAAAAGAAATATATGAGAATTGTTAACTGTGAGATCATCAGCCTATAACTTCATTGAATATGACTCATATACAAATTGGTTAAGTTACTTCTGCAAATGGTATTCTTGATGACTGTTCATAAAGCCTAGTGGCCTAAATAAGATACTTTTGAATAAAGCATCAGCCTCTGGTCATGTATCTAATTTTATTTAGGTTAATTTCACTTTAATCTACATATAATTATCCTTTTTCACATTTTTCTACTAATCTTTACTCTTTCTGAGGCATTCTTTAAACCACTGAAAGATAAGATACTATTATATTCCTTGAATGACATGCTTTTCTAAGAAAAACTTTGAATCAGTAAAGGAAAAAGGTTGATAACTTCAATCACATTAAATCAAGGAACAAAATAAAAAAAATTATGGCAAGAAAGCAAGATAAATAAGTTCGAAAAACATTTTACAGTATATATGTCACATGAATTACACAAAACTCATAAAATTAATCGAAAAACAATACAATTAATCAGAAAAAAACAAAATGAGTGAAAATAGTTTTTAAATCCTCGGTGGGACAAAAATAACATTTATAACATTTATAAATCCATAGAGGACTTATAAATTTGACATATAAATTTCAAATTTGTTGAGGCAAGTCTAACCACAAAACAATTAAAAATTCTACCATTAACAATGAAATCAAAAAACATGAAAACCTACTAGAAAATTGGATAAAAGCATAATGTTAACGCATATAAGAAAAAGATAAATGCTAAATAAGGTTATAAAAAATGCCAACCTTTTCAATTACTAAAGAATTAAGTAGACTTTTAACTTTTAAGACTGGCAAAGATTTAAAATTAATAAAATTCAGTATTGCAGGGAATGTAAACTGATATTTTTTGGAAAACAATTTGTGAATAACTACCGAAAACTTCACTTGTCTTTTAACTACCAATTTCAGTACTAAGAATTATAAAAACAATATACTTGAGTTGGTAGATATATGTTTTAGGGCATGCACTGCAGAAATTCTATAGGTCCACTCTTGGGAGCAATTTGTATTTCAAAATTATTTTATGACTTTAGAAAGTCTACATGGTGTGTGTGCACATGTGCACGGCTGTGTGTGTGTTATGCAGTACTATCAGAGGCATTCAGGGAAGCATTTCATCACAAAACAACATTAATATTTCTAAATAGGAATATATGAATATTTGCACGAAGTGGAATAAACACAGACAGTAAATAGTTTTAGGTGAGTTCTGGTGAGTTTCTGACATCAAATGACTTCAGGCTAGCTTAGTTTCAACCTCTAAATTAGTGAAAAAGAGACATTTAATTTTAAGTGCTTTTGGGGTTTCAAAATTGAAAATAAGGGACTATGGACCTAAATTATTTAAAAACCTGAAAACTAAACTAATAATTATCTTAAATTGATGATTCTCCCATAATAGATCTACTAAGGAATCATTTTAAGCAGTGATAGAATTAACGTTAAAATATAAATGCCTAGGATATATGATAAAGTGAGAAAAAGAACAGCAACGTTATCCATTTCTTTTGTGCAACAAAATTTCTGGTGATATTTCCTTTCTGTTGAGAGAAATAATGCAAGACTTAAAGGCTACTGGGAGGGGACATGCAGATTTTATACATTGCCTGGGGTCCTTTTTTGAAACTTGACTTCTTCCTCTTCTTATAAATATCATCTATTACCTATGGGTAATAAAACTTGTTAGAATGCATAAAGATGCACCTGATTGACCAAAGTTGTGTGACAACTGGGGATAAGGATATCATCTACACGAAGATAGAAAGAGAGAAGATCAGGAGCTAGACTTTGCAGAGTCAGGTGACGAAGATAAATGGAACCTCAGTCACACCTAAGATTCCTATTTATGGGGCTGTTGTCTAATGGAATCTAAAGATCTGTGATTTGAAAGGCTCAGGGCACTGTAAGGCTCAAATTACCTAATAAACAACAACAACAAAAAAACTGCAAATAAAGTAGAAAAACACTGAAAATTTTAGAAGCAAGTCAAAACCTAAGAAAATCCATGCATGCATGAAAGGATATGTAACAATACTTAAACATTTTTAATGTTTCTTTTCTCTGTGTTTCATTTAAAATAGTTTCTATACCTATGTCTTCAAATTCATATAAGATGCCTAATCTCTCTCGGCATAAGGGATTTGTATATTAAAACTACAGTGAGGAGTTTCATTTCCAACCAGGATGGAATTCTGGAAGCAGATTTGTGCTCCCACCTGAAATAAGTAAAAATGGAGAAAGTATGTGAAACA